>NC_000001.11:174396708-174699738 GCF_000001405.40 Homo sapiens
GTAAAGAATACCATCCCCTGATATTATTTATGAATTCTTGATAAACAGTGTATGTTCATATAGTGAGAAAATTTTTATCATTTATACCAAACACCATGGTAGTTTTAACTATACAACTTGCAAAAAATACTTTAAGATCAAGAGATAGGGCTGGGCTCAGTGGTTCATGCCTGTAATTCCAACAGTTTGGAAGGTGGAGGTGGGAGGATGGCTTGAGCCCACGATTTCAAGACCAGCCTAGGCTACATAGTGAGACGCTGTCTCTACAAAAAAAAAAAAAAAAATTAGCTGGGCATGGTTGCACATACCTGTAGTCCCAGCTGTTTGAGAGGCTGAGATGGGAGGATTGCTTGAGCCCAGGAGATCGAGGCTGCAGTGGGCTGTGATTGTGCCATCAAACTTCAGTTCAGCTGGGGTGACAGAGTGAGACCCAGTCTCAAACCACAAAAAACAGAATGGCAAAAATCATTTTCATTGAATAAAATATATGGAAGATACTTGGAGGCTGATAAATTACATTTTTTAGATTTCTTCCCTCTGGAGTTCTAGCTGTGATTTACTTTCTGCCAGTGAAGATTGCGGGGAGGCAAAAGCCATATTTTCTCTGGCAGTGTGGTTGGCAGATACCTGGGCTTCACCAGTTGTGAGGTTTTTGCATCTGCCTCTGGGCATTTCATTCTCAATCACTTGCCTTCACTCTGGGGTTACTGTTTCCTGTGGTTTCCTATCCTGAGTGGCCACAGCAGCCTTCTGATTCTCTGGACTGTAGCTGTGGTGACACACCTAAAGAGCTGGAAGGGCAAAAGACTGCTACAGCAGGATGTTCAGTCTTCAGTCTTTTGCCCTTTCAGCTCTTTCAGTGTTTAAGGACCTTCATTCCTGCATTACATCTTTTTTGAAATAGTTTACCTGATTAAACCCTGTCTGATACACTTGGCATGTATTTTTCTCCTTGTTTTCACAAGATGGCTTTTCTACACCCAGCATTACATTTAGAAAAGAAGAAAAGAAAAACAAAGTCTACTCAAGGTAGCCAGACTTGAGGCTAAGAGCCCAGTCCTCCAGACTGCCAGCTTTGTTCAAGACTTCTGACATCAGCCACAATTTGGGGGTTCTTAGTGCCACCCTGACTTCAGACCAACTAGCTTCAAACTTGTAGATCCTCACAGACTTCCTCAGGTTTGATAATTTGCGAGAATAACTCACAGAACTCAGTAAAGTGCTATACTTAAACAATTGTAGTTTAGTGTTTTTGTTTGTTTGTTTTTTTAGTAGCAAAAAGATACAAATCTGAACCAGCCAAAGGAAGACATGTATAGGGCAGAATGTGGGACTAGGAGAATTCCAAATTTGAAGCTTCCATCATTCTCACGGATATGTTACCCTCCTGGTATTATCCTCAAGGGCTCATTACCTGCCTAGCATCAATATGTAGCAATATACACTTGGAATATTGCCAATCAGGAAGCTCACCTAGTTTTGGTGTCCAGAGTTTTTATTGGAGTTTTATTACATAGGCATGATTGATTGGATCATTACCTATCTGGTAGAACTCAATCTCTACGCTCCCCTTCTTTCCTCCCCAGAGGAAAAGAAGGTAGGGACACAGCCAAACCATATTGTATTGGGGCTGTTGCGTGGCTCAAAACCCCAGTGCTGTAATCACATGGTCGGTCTTTGTGGCTTGGCCAGCCTACGTCATGAGTCTTCTTCTTAGTGTAAACTATCTGGGGGCTTACCATGAATCATCTGATTAACATAAACTATCAGATGTGGTTAGAGGGGCCCACCACAAATAACAATCCTGTTATTCAGGAAATTTCAAGGGTTAAAAGGTTACTGTCCATGGGCTGGAAAAAAGGCTAGACCTCTCTTTGGCATTTCTGAACCCAGTCTATCACCCTTTTAAAGACTTTTTCTTAAGCACCAAACAACAACTCCATCTATATATTCTTGACCAGAATTCTGGCTACTATCTTCATGGAAAACTAGAAATGTTTTTTAAAAGATAGACACATTGATTTATCCCTCCACCCCCGAAAATCTAGGCTTTTTGTAAACAGGAAAGAGAAAATAGGTATTGAGTAGAAAACTACCTTTCTGTTCCCCAACTGCCTCTTAATAGTGACACTAGTTGAGATCTATTATGGAATGAATTATTCTAAAAATATATGTAAACTTAATTTATTTTAGAACTGTAAATATTTACTAATTGCCACTTGAGATTGATTAGCAATGTGTAATTCAGTTAGTATAATAAATATTTTCACATTCAGCTTATAAATCTATGACAACTTTAAGTTTTTAATGTTATTTCTATTGTTAATACAGTTATCAAAAACATTTTCATACAAACAATATAGAAATGTGTGGCTCTAATCATGTGCGTTTATTCAGGGTCTCAAATCATAAGACTTCTTTGACATAAAGTACAGTGGTATATTTAATTTCATTGTCTTCCTTGCATTATAGTAAAATGAATAATGTCATTTTTTCTAAAAATGATTTTTTCCTTTCACTGTCCTTGGGGTAGCAATGAGATGACAAGTGCCTGTAGCCAAGAGTGTATGTGGGTACTTTGGTGGTGAATACATCTGAGCTTATAGTCACTAAGTGGAAAGGGCATGAACACTCAAGAGTATTTTCTGTAAGAAGTGCCTGCATATTTGGCACTTGTTGGTCATGGTTCAGCAGCTGTTCGTCCTTTCTTTTGGTCCAGTTAATTTTTCCTGTCTTATTAAGGGAATGGCAAGATTTCAAGGTTAGTTAATGAAATGGTTCAGCTTGAACAAACAATTGCTTTATAAAAAATTGCTTTATAAAAACCCTACCAGAGGCCTCAGATTACACAGGGAAGAAGGAATATGAAGTATTTTATATTTGTCTGTTCTCACACTGCTATAAGGACCTACCTGAGACTGGGCAATTTATAAAGGAAAGAGGTTTAATTGACTCACAGTTTCACAGGGCTGGGAGGCCTCAGCAAATTTACAATCGTGGCGGAAAGGGAAGCTAACACATCCTTCTTCTCATGGTGGCAGAAAGGAGAAGAATGAGCAGGGGAAATGCCAGATGCTTATAAAACCATCAGATCTCGTGGGAACTCATTATCACGAGAACACTGTGGGGTAAACCGCCCCCATGATTCGGTTATCTCCACCTGGTCCCTCCCACGACACATGAGGATTATGGGAACTACAATTCAAATGAGATTTGGGTAGGGACACAGCCAAACCATATCATATTTCAGAAAATTTACTTAAGGTTTGGCTTCCATGAAAAAGTAGTCTACCATTTAAATCTATAGTAGGAATGTACTGGTTTAGAATTTGAACCCACAAATCACATTCTGAAGCATTCTTTCAGGGGTGGCAAATATACAGCCAGCAGGCTAGGTGGAGCCTACAAATATGCTTTGTATGGCTATCAATACATCAAAGAATGGTATACACTTAGGGATTAAATTTATACTTTCTTTTGCCATGGGCGTATTACTCTATTACTTACTCTCTATCTTTTATACCTTTTAATGCCTGTTTGGTCCTCAAATATATTCGATTTTGTGACTCCATTATAATACTATGTCAGCAGCCATTGCTTGCTTCAGAGGAGGGGGCTATCACAGTGTGCTTGCAATTGATTAATGTCTGCTTCCCCAGCAGACTTTAAAATCCACAGGAGCAAAGACCACAACTGTATTGCTCCTTATGAAATAGCCTATGCCTGGCATAGGGCCTGCCTGACACATTCTAGATGATAAATAAAATTTTTTCCCTCCTAAGAGGAGCATAAGGTCATAGTTGACTTATTTGTATAGTTATTTATTCTGTTTTTCTTTTCCATCAACTATAGCCTTATATTGTGTTAGGTCCTGGATAAAGCTTTTAAGTATGAAGCAATGTCTTTTTTGTAGGAAACCTATTCATCTTGTTGGGGAGAGCTATAAGCAATGGATTAATTTGAGCAGCTGTTCCTGGTGAACTAACCTCTTCTCTTTTTGCCAGGGAGGAGGTGGCAGCCATTAAGAATTAGTACCCTAGAGAATTTTGCAATGGTAGTGGGTCATGTAGATTGAGTCACCTTGAATCATGGTAGGTCAATGATTGGCCTGCCATGGTAGGATAGACAGTAATATTGAACATAGAATAGGGCCGGGATTACAATGTGGAACAATTATACTTTATATGGTCTTGTTGGTTTTATAATCTATAGAAAATAAAGTTCTTCATATCATTTTGACTGGTAGTAAATGACTCTAGGGACCAAAGTTTAAAAAAGGGTGAAAATCTCTGGATGAGATTCAAGTGAAAATGAAGCAGGTTAGGAGCTGTAGACCAACTGATAACCTCAATCTGGAACCAAGGACCAAGCAGGACCAGTCAGAAGAGCTGTTATATGTAAATCCGTGTTGAATCACTCTCCACTTCAGAAGGAGCTTTCAGGCACACCTTGCCTTGGTAACAGTGGTAGCTTCGCTTTAGGAGGAGATTTTAGTGCTCACTATGCAGGAAGACCCTGGGTTCGAATCTCAAATTCTGCTACTTACTGGTTGGTGACCTTGGGCAAGCTCCTTAACTATCTTCAGTCTCACTTCCTTTTTTGGTAAAATAGGCATAATAATATGTATCTTACAGGATTGTTGTGAGAATTTAGTAAGATAATTTATATAAAGCACTCAATGCATGCCTAATACATGATAAGCACTCACCCGTGATGGGGAATGAGGAAAATTATAAAGCAATATATGCATAAATGAAGTTTGAAGTAAGCTTTCGGAATTAACATCATCAGAAAGTACTATAGGAAATATGGAGATTACTGTGGGCTCTTGAGGTCCGTGCAGGTTTCAAGACATTCATCTGAGAAATGGGGAGAAAGAAAACAGGAAGTGTGTAGCACCCTGTTATCTACTTGTACCGCTAATTCATTCATTATTTATCAAACAGTATCTCTTCTGTATCAGAGGCTATGCTAAGCACTAGACATGTAAAGAAGACTAATACCTATACCCTATCCTTGAGGAGTTTACAGCCCAGTGGGGGAAGATAGTCAAAAAGGCAAAGAAGCAGCGATAACATGGTTAAGCACTGTGACACAGGTATGAGCAAAGTGACAAGTGAGGACAAAGACTGGATACAGCCATTTCTGCCTAGGAACAGAGAATGGGAGTATGTGTTTAGGCTGAGGCAATGCCATACATAAACACACAGAGTTGTGAAAGGTCCTGCCATGGTCAGGGGCTGTAAGAAGTTCAGTATGACCCATGGGAGTACTCTAGACTCTACAGTCTAAGTGAGCAAAGATGGTATCTGGGTTTTGCTCACTGCTCTAACCTTAGTACTCAATGCTAGGACTGCCCCTCAGTAGATGCTAAACGCTTCCTGAAGGATTTAATGGGGTATGTGGGAGACATTATGTCTAGTGCTTTCATATATCCTTTCCATGTAAGCCTCACAGCTTCTGTAATATGATTCCCATTTTTACCATCAAGAAAACTGTCACATGGTTACTAAATAGTAGAATCCGTGAACTCAAAAACCCAAAACTAGAATGAAAGGGACAACTCATCCCTACTTTTGGTCTTGTAAAGATCCTTTAGAAAAACTCTATATTTTTCTGATCATCAGTTATTAAGAGTAATAAAGAAAAGGTTGAAGAAATAAAAGCACTATCTCATTTCTATATACTGTTCATTGTATGGAAATGAAAATTTATAATTCAGAAACTATTCTATCAGGAAACACATATAAACCTTAGAAGTCAGTGAGTAAGAAAGAAGTTCTAAAGCGCCTAACTTCAAGTCATCTCTTTTAAGATGAGTCTTGAGCCTTCAACCATTGTCTGTTGTTACATGATTCCTGCCACTGAGTTGTAGGGTACTACTGCTGCTGATGAATCACTGGAAGACTTTTACCACATATTTCTGAAATCCTATGTCCTTTATTGTTTATCATTGAGATGTTTTTATTATTCCTGTTAAGCTGCATTTTTCATAACGTTTGAGGTGATCTGAAACGACAATAGAAGGATCATGACCTTGTTCCTGTGTAGAAACAAGCAAACAGTATTTAGAGCTTCTGAAATGAGTACTTCTTAATTGTTGGCTTGAGGACCCACTAAGCAATGATCACATTTTCACATATTCTTAGCCATTTGAAATGGAGATTGTGTATGTTTTAGGGCAAGTCAAATTTTATGTAGCATGACAGAACTGTGTGTGTACTTTCAGTAATTGTATGACATATATGGTATAGTTTGCCTATCATATCTGCTGGTTTATATAACATAGGAAATATTAGATTGTAGTTGTGTGGTCTTTTGTAAAAATGATCTTGTATGTAACGTGTGTACTGTATACTTTGTTAAAATCAAAAGATGCTTTTAATTGATAAGCTTTTAGAAATAATAATGCCATGAGGTGTTTCTCTCTACCACTTGAATTCCTGTTTTTCTCCCAAATGAATCTTTTCTTTCGAAAGTGTATGTGGTTATATATGAGAGTGTGTGTGTGTGTGTGTGTGTGTGTGTGTGTGTGTGTGTATATATATGTGTATACCATTTCTTTTCTTCTCTCTTTTTTTTTTTTAAGAGACAGGGTCTCACCATGTTGCTCAAACTGGAGTGGTGGCTCTTCACAGGTGTGATCATAGTGCACTGCAGTTCATTCTTTTAAAAGGATTTAAGTGCTAGTGTTTGATAGACCTGGATTTAAGATTCACCTCTCCCATGTATTAATTTGTGATCTTGGAACATTGTCCCAACATTCTAAGCCTCAGTTTCATCATTTTTAAAGCAGGCTTAATAGTAGTATCTACCGGGATTTTTGTGTAAATTACATAAAATGATGAAGTGCTTGGCGTATAGTAAGTACTCATGATTAGCTTCTGCTATCTTTATCAATATGATATTACATCATGAACAACAGTAATAGCAATGTTAATATTAATAATGGATATTGGTGTCAGGGCATGTTTCTAATTTAATACATGTGTTAGGTAACTTCCAGTTACAAAGTTTTTATAAGAGCACATGATGTGTATAATAGCTGATTATACTGAAATACGAAGTGTCAGATTTGTATTTTTCTGGTTTGGGATTTTTTTTTTTTTGGTTGGTGAATATCATGGAGTATTTGCATTCTAAAATTTGACTTTGTATTGGTTATATGAATTATTTTAGTGATTATGCAAATTCAACTATATAGTAAAGTCAAATTATATTCTCTAAAAATCACTCCTAAATACTGTGTTATATAATCAAGACTAGAAGGCAGGTATTACTCTCATTCACTTATTAATTCACTTATTCACCAACTCTTGATTGATCAACTTTTATGGGCTAGGCTCTCTATTGTTTCTAGGGCTATGTAGATCAAAAGACTTCACACCCTTGAGGAGTCCAGCCTAGGGAAAGCCAGGCTTATGCACTGATAGATAACTTTATTATGATACAAGTTATAATAACTGTCTTAATCAAATGTGTAGAATACAGAAGAGATCGTGACAGCTCTGCTTGAGTGAGCCAGGGAAGACTTCACAGAGGAGAGAATATCTGAGGTGGGACTTGAAGAATATTTCTGAGCAGGATAGGAGAGGGCATGTAGTATAGGGAGTGGCTTATGTAGTTTTTCAGCTTCCATTTAATGAGTTAGCTTGGGTTATCCAGAAAGCCTTTGAGAGTTAAATCAGTATGTTCCTTCCTTCCCCTACTCTCATCCTAGTTGGCCAGCTTCATCTATTTATGCATCAATGCGTTAAATAGAAACTTAATGTAAGTTTATTCTTGTTAGAACAAATACATATCATGGTAAGCCTCGGGAAATATATGTCATGTCAAAATGATAGCACAAAAGAATATTTAATTGGTCATCTAGGGTTGATGTAATAAGGTTTTAACCTATTAAAGCATCTATTCAGTTCATCTTTAAGTACCTATTGTGTGTCAGGTACTGTGCTAGGATAATAATACATATTAATTTTTTAAATTAATTAACTGAAAAAATATCGATTGACTAAAGTAAAACAATATAAACTTGCAAAGAGGCAGCACTGTTTTATAAACTCCAGAGAGCATTTGTTTAAACCTGTATCAGACAGCAAAAAGGGCAATAGTTGCAAATATTAATTTGGTAGTTGCTGGCAAAAATTCTTTTTGAAATAATAAAAAACAACTGCAAGAGTGGCCCATTTTAAGATTCTGAAAATTCTCTGCTTTCTTGAGCATTATATGGACAGAAAAATTTTCCCTGCATTTATTCACATCAGATTACTGGTACTGCTCAGAGTAAAGCCTGTCTTCTTTCTGTTCTCCAGTGTATAATTGTAGCAGATGGCTTTTAATAAAACATTTAGCTAAAGAAGAATTTTTACTCTGGGTTGGTGGAATGTATTATAATGATAATATTGGAAATTCTCAAGAGGAGATGTTTAATTTGGTATTTTTCTTTTGATTGAATAATGTTTGGTGAATAATTGAAAAGTCAAATTATAGTATCTGCTACATCGTTTTTTATTTGTTAAGTTTCAAAACTAAATTAAATCATGTAGATGAGTCATGTAGCCAAGTAAATATTTGCTTTTTCTTTACATGGTTTACTTTTTAAACATTAAGGCAGTTTATCCTAGTAAAATAACACTCAATACTAGATTTTATTGAGAGTCAGAGCATCGCTTAATTATATGGCTGCTCTGTTCTCTGTCATCACCTTGTCTAGGTGTAGGCTTTGAGCTTTTTGATAGAATGAGGTTATTCCAGCTGTGTCTGTACCATTGGTATTTATAAAAACCACAGGCTGTTGTATAAAAACCACATTACTGATATAAATACAAAATTTACAAAGATCTCATCAGAAAATGTATAGTTACTAAAAATTTACTAACCACAACAATGAGGCAGGCAAGGAGAATAAAGAGTACTCATTGTGTTGTAATGTAAATGCCTTGAATATGTAGGTACTGGAAAGTCTTTATTAAAATGAACTAAGAATTGGCTGGGTGCGGTGGCTCACACCTATAATCCCAGCAGTTTGGGAGGCTGAGGTGGGCTGATTGCTTGAGCCTAGGAGTTCGAGACCAGCCTGGGCCACATGGTGAAACCCTGTCTCTACAAAAAATACAAAAATTAACTGGGTGTGGCGACACATGCTTGTAGTCCCAGCTACTTGGGAGGCTGGGGTGGGAGGATCACTTGAGCCCGGGAGGCAGAGGTTGCAGTGAGCCAAGATCACGCCACTGCACTCCAGCCTGGGTGACAGAGTGAGACCCTGTATCAAAAAAATAAAAGAAAAAAAGAAAAAAGAAAGAGAAACTAAGAATTAATGAAAGAGGTTCTTTAAGAAAATATACAATTTATTTTCTCTTTTCTTGCATAATTATATATTTGCTTATGGTTAATTTTTTTACAGAATAATTTAAATCAAATTTTCTTGATCCCCATCCTTTGAGATCTTTCATTTACTGTCTGTCTATAGTGATATCTACATATATAAAAACTGTAATTATATGTGAATTTGAGAAGTAACAGTTTTCTTCTCAACTCTCCAACACTGTGTATAAAATTTAAAATATACTCTAAGTATTTTCATGTACTTAAGTGATATATTCTATTATTAGTAACAAATATAGTTTTTGTTATCCTTCAAATGTGTTTAATAGTTTTGAGGTAAATTAAGGAAGATATAACTTTTTAATATTACCTTCATTTTCATATTATGGAATTAGAGTAGGAGTATACTGTTTTGAAGAAAGATGTTAGAGGTTATTGTTGAGCATAGATCATTTCATGGCTTACATGGTTTACTTTTTAAAAACTTAAGGCAGTGTTAGTCAAATAACAATACTAGATTTCACTGAGAGTCAGAGGATTGCTTAATTATACGACTGCCTTGTTCTTTGTCATCACCTTGTGTAGTTTTGTAGGCTTTAATCAGTAATAAAATCAGTACTTGCCTGGGCATGGTGGCTCATGCTTTAATCTCAATACTTTGGAAAGCCAAGGCAGGAAGATCTCGAGTCCAGGAGTTAAAGACGCTGTCTCTACAAAAAATACAAAAATTAGCTGGGTGTGGTGCCACATGCCTATGGTTACAGCCACTCGGGAGGCTGAAGTGGGAGGATCACTTGAGCCTAGGAGGCTGCAGTGAGCTGTGATTGTGCCATTTGCCATTTTAATGACAAAACCCACAATTACTTTTGCATCAACCTAGTCTCATATTTTCAAGAGCCTGGGATTACACTCCTGTATTCCAATTTCATAATAACTTTATTGACATTAGCACATATTTCTAGAACATATTTAATTTATGTTTCATTGGGTAATATGGTGTGGTGAGTTCTCTCTAGGGATTTTGCTTTGTCTTTGATTTACTTTTCCATTTAAATTTATGAAATTTATGTTTAGATGTGTTTACTATTGATTACGGCTGAGGTGAAAAAAGGGATAGGCAGCTGATACCCATGAGGCACCTACCTCCTGCCCCAACATGTTATACATTTCTGCACATGTTTTGGTCACAGTTCCATTTTGCAGCCTCTTATTTGATTGCTTCATGAATCTGTTTCTCAGTATCTTCTTTCATTTTTGTGTCTCTTTATGTTTTTTTTTTTGTCTCTCCATTATATCTTTAATTTTCTTTTTTACCTGCCTCCCTTTCTTAATTGTCCAAAATCTAGAGTTGACTCTTAAAGAATGCAGGGGTTAGTGGCTGGCTTCCATCTCAAGGCAGTTGAAAAATTGTGTATAACCTTTTACTCCCCCCAGATCTAACTATTAATAGCCTATTGTTGAGTGGAAGCCTTACCAATAACATAGGCAGTCAGTTAACATGTATCTTGTATTATGCAAAAAGTCCAAGGATTTTGCATGTGCTGATGTAGCTGCATTGACAGCTTCATGAATTTCCTCTTTAATTATTATTATTATCATTATTTTTTACTGTTGTCCTTTTGCTGGATTCATTTATCTCAAAGTAGTGGACATCCGCAGCTGCAGACTTCAGTGTGTGGTACTTATTCAGAATTCAGCTTTTTCTTGTAATGTGACTTTTCTGTGCTTCTTGAAAGCACTTTTAGCTTCACTAGTGGCACTTCATATGGGTCACATGGTGTTACTCAAGTTTTATGGTATTGCACTAAACAATGAGAAATATGTGAGAACCATGATCACTTTTTACAATGATAAAATGTACTGGAGAGATGAACTGCTCACATGGAGATGATTAGCATTACACGGCATTTCAAGCAGATACACTCACCACAATAGCAACCCGAGATGGGGTTGAAAATTTTACAGTTGCATAGTATGTACTACATTTAACTTTATATAGTTTTGATGTAATACTGCATCTTTATGTTTGTTTTGTGTTTTTCAAATTTTATTTTAGATTCAGGGGGTACATATGCAGGTTTGTTACCTGAATGTATTGCATGATGCTGAAGTTTTGGGTGTGAATGATCCTATCACTTGGGTAATGAGCATAGTACCCCAGTACTTAGTTTTTCAGCCCTTGTCTCCTTCAGCCTTCTGTTAGCCTCCATTGTCTGTTGTTGCCATCTTTATGTCCATGACTACCCAATGTTTATCTCCCACTCATAAGTGAGAACATGTGGTACTTGGTTTTCTGTTTTTTTGTTAATTTGGTTAGGATAATGGCCTCCAGCTGCATCCACATTGCTGCATAGGACATGATTTCATTCTTTTCTGTGGCTGCATAGTATTGTATGGTGTATATATACCACATTTTCTTTTTCCAACCCACTGTTGATGGGCACTTGTGTTGACTCCATGTCTTTGTTATTGTGAATAGTGCTGCAGTGAACATGCAAACGTGTGTCTTTTCGATAGAAATATTTGTTTTCTTTTGGATATATACCCAATAGTAGGATTGCTGGGTTGAACTGGGTAGAATGGTAGTTATTTGAGAAATCTCTAAAGCATTCCACAGTGGCTGTAATAATTTACATTCCCACCAACAGTGTCTACGTGTTAATTCCCCTTTCTCTGTAGCCTTGTGAGCATCTGTTGTTTTTTTTTGACTTTTTAGTAATAGCCATTTTGGCTAGTATGACATGGTTTCTCATTGTGATTTTGATTTGCCTTTCTCAGATTAGTGATGTTGAGCATTTTTTCATGTTTGTTGGCTGCTTGTTTGTCTTCTTTTGAGAAGTGTCTATTCATATCTTTTGCCTGCTTTTTAATGGTGTTATTTGTTTTGTGCTTGTTGAATTTTTTAAGTTCCTTATAGATTCTAATGTTAGACCTTTGTCAGATACGTAGTTTCTGAGTATGTTCTCCTATTCTGTAGGTTTTCTGTTTACTCTATTGATAGTTTCTTTTCCTGTGCAGAAGCTCTTCAGTTTAATTAGGTCCTACTTGTTAATTTATGTTTTCTTGCAATTGTTTTTGAGGGTTTAGTCATAAATTATTGTTACAGGAAGTCAGGGACCCCGAACGGAGGGACCAGCTGGAGCTGCGGCAGAAGAACATAAATTGTGGAGATTTCATTTTAATATGGACATATGTCAGTTCCCAAAATTAATACTTTTATAATTTCTTATGCCTGTCTTTACTGCAATCTCTGAACATAAATTGTGAAGATTTCATGGACATTTATCAGTCCCCAAATAATACTCTTATAATTTCTTACACCTGTCTTACTTTAATCTCTTAATCCTGTTATCTTCGTAAGCTGAGGATGTACATCACTTCGGGAGCACTATAATTGTATGTAACTGTACAAATTGATTGTAAAACGTGTGTTTGAACAATATGAAATCAGTGCACCTTGAAAAAGAACAGAATAACACGATTTTCAGGAAACAAGGGAAGACAACCATAATGTCTGACTGCCTGCGGGGTCGGGCAGAATAGAGCCATATTTTTCTTCTTGCAGAGAGCCTATAAATGGATGTGCAAGTAGGGAAGATATCGCTGAATTCTTTTCCTAGCAAGGAATATTAATAATTAAGACCCTGGGAAAGGAATGCATTCCTGGGGAGGGGTCTATAAACGGCCACTCTGGAAGTATCTGTCTTATGCAGTTGAGATAAGGACTGAAATTCACCCTGGTCTCCTGCCGTACCCTCAGGCTTACTAGGATTGGGAAACCCCACCCTGGTAAATTTGAGGTCAGACTGGTTCTCTGCTCTCGAACCCTGTTTTCTGTTGTTTAAGATGTTTATCAAGACAATACGTGCACAGCTGAACATAGACCCTTATCAGGAGTTTTTGATTTTGCCCTTTGCCTTGTGATCTTTGCTTTGCCCTTTGCCCTGTGATCTTTATTGGCCTCAGAAGCATGTGATCTTTGTTATCCTTTTTGCCCTTTGAAGCATGTGATCTTTGTGACCTACTCCCTGTTTGTACACCCCCTCCCCTTTTGAAGTCCTTAATAAAAACCTACTGGTTTTGTGGCCCAGGTGGGCATCACGGTCCTACAGATATGCTGTGTCACCCCTGGAGGCCCAGTAAAATTCCTCTCTTTGTACTCTTTCTCTTTATTTCTCAGACTGGCCGACACTTAGGGAAAATAGGACTTACGTTGAAATATTGGGGGTGGGTTCCCCCGATAAATTATTTCCCAAGGCTGATGTCCAGAATGGTGTTCCCTAGGTTTTCTTCTAGATTTTTAGAGTTTGAGGTCTTACATTTAAAAATTTTAATTCATCTGGAGTTAATTTTTGTGTATGGTGACAGATAAGGGTCCAGTTTCTTTCTTCTGCATATGGCTAGCCAACTATCCCGTAATAGCAGGGATAATGTGTGGCTAAGTCTTTTCACCATTTATTGAATAAGGAGCCCTTTCCCTATTGCTTATTTTTGTTGACTTTGTTGAGGATCAGATGGCTGTAGGTGTGTGGCTTTATTTCTGCGTTCTTTATTTTGTTGGTTTATGTATCTGTTTTTGTACCAATTATCATGCTGTTTTGGTTACTGTAGCCTTATATATAGTATGAATTCAGGTAATGTGATGCCTCCAGCTTTGTTCTTTTTGCTTAGAATGCTTTGGCTATTTGGGCCATTTTTTGGTTCCATATGAATTTTAGAATAGTTTTTTTCTAGTTCTGTGAAAACTAATGTTGGTAGTTGAATAGAAATAGCATTCAATCTCTTGCTTTCTTTGGGCAGTATGGCCACTTTAATGAAATTGATTCTTCCAATCCATGATCGTGGAATTTTTTAAAAATTGTTTCTGTCATTTCAGATTTATTTGAGCAATGTTTTGTAGTTCTCCTTGTAGAAATCTTTTACCTCCTTGGTTAGATGTATTCCTAGGTATATTTTTTTGTGTATGTGGCTAATTGTGGGATTGTGTTCTTGATTTGGCTCTCAGCTTGAACGATATTGCTATATAGAAATGCTACTGATTTTTGTGTGCTGATTTTTTATCTTAAAACTTTTCTGAAGTCATTTATCAGTTCCAGGAACCTTCTGGCAGAGTCTTTAGGGTTTTCTAGTATAGGATCACATCATCAGTGAAGAGAGATCATTTGACTTCTTCTTTTCCAATTTGGATGCCTTTCTTTCTCTTGCCTGATTGCTCTGGGTAGGACTTCCATTACTATGTTGAATAGGAGTGATGAGAGTGGGCATCCTTGTCTTGTTCATTCTCAAGGGGAATGCTTTCAGTTTTTACCTGTTCAGTATGATGTTTGCTGTGGGTTTGTCATGAATGGTTCCTGTTATTTTGAGGTATGTTGCTTTGATTCCTGGTTTCTTGAGTATTTTTATCATGAAGGGATGTTGGATTTTATCAAAAGCTTTTTTCACATTTATTGAGATGATCACATGGCTTTTGTTTTTGTTTTTGATTCTGTTTATGTGTTCAATCAAATTTATTAAATTTTTGATACACTGTTGAGTTTGGTTTGTTAGTATTTTGTTGGGGATTTTTCCATCTATGTTCACTAGGGATATTGGGCTAAGTTTTCTGTTTCTGTTGTGTCTTTGCCAGGTTTTGGTATCAGATTGATGCTGACTCTGATTTTATTTACTTCAAAGTAATTTTTGATTTCTGCCTTAATTTCATTGTTTACCCAAAAGTCATTCAGGAGCAGGTCATTTAATTTCTATGTAACTGTGTGGTTTTGAGAGAGCTTTTTGATACTGATTTCTATTTGTATTCCACTGTGGTCCAAGAGTATGGTTTGTGTGACTTTTTAAAAAATTTATTGAGACTTGCATTGTGGCTGAGCATGTGATTGATCTTGGAGTATGTTCTGGGTGCAGATGAGAAAGATATATATTCTGTGGTTGATGGGTAGAGTATCCCGTAGATGTTTATTAAGTCCAACTGGACAAGTGTCAAGTTTAAGTTCAGGATTTCTTTGTTAGTTTTCTGCTTTGATGATGTGTCTAATGCTGTCAGTGGGGTGTTGAAGTTCCCCACTATTACTGTGTGGCTAAGTCTTTTCATAGGTATAGACATACTTGTTTATACCCCAAACTTGGGCGTGTATATATTTAAGATAGTTAAGTCTTCTTGTTGAATTGAACTCTTTATCATTATGTAATACCTTTATTTGTTCACTTTTACTTTTGTTGGCTTAAAGTGTGTTTTATCTAATATAAGAACAGCCACCCTTGCCCATTTATGTTTTCCATTTGCATGGTAGATCTTCCTCCATCCCTTTATATTGAGGCTTTGGGTGTTATTATGTGTGAGATGGGTCTCTTGAAGACAGCAGATGTATGAATCTTTTTATCCAACTTGTGATTCTGTGCCTTTTAAGTGGGGTGTTTTGACCATTTACATTCAACATTAATATTGATAATGTGAGATTTTGATGCTATCATAAAGTTGTTAGTTGGTTGCTTTGTAGTTTCTATTGTGTTGTTTCCTGATAGGGTCTGTGGGCTATGTACTTAAGTGTGTTTTTGGGTAGAGGAGGTATCTTTCCTTCATTTCCATGTATAGAAATATCTTAAGGATCCCTTGTAAAACTGGTTTAGTGGTAATGAATTCCCTTAGCACTTGCTCGTCTGAAAAAGGTTTTATTTCTCTTTTGCTTATGAAGCTTAGTTTGGCAGAATATGAAATTCTTAGTTGGAATTTTTTTTCTTTAAGAATGCTTAAAAAAGGCCCCCAGTCTCTCCTGGCTTGTAATGTTTCTGATGAAAAGTCCACTGTTAGCCTGATGGGGTTCCCTTTGTACATGATCTGACCTTTTTCTCTAGCTGTCTTTAAAATTTTTTTCTTTAGCATTGAGCTTGGACAGTCTTGTGACTATATATCCTGGTGATGTTCATTTTGTGTAGTATCTCACAGATATTCTCTATTCTTGTATCTGGATGTCTACCTCTCTAGCAAGATTAGGGAAGTTTTCTTGAATTATTCACTCAAATATGTTTTTCAGATTGTTTACTTTTTCTCCTTTCTCAGGAATGCCAGTAATTCATAGATTTGGTCATTTTACATAATCCTATTTTTATCAAAGACTTTGTTCATTTTTAAAAATTCTTTTTTCTTTATTTTTGTTGACTGTATTAGTTCAAAACACTGGTCTTCAGGCTCTGAGATTCTTTCCTCAACATGGTCTCTTCTGTTGCTAACACATTCAATTGTATTTTGAAATTCCTTAAGTGAATTTTTTAATGACTGAAGCTGTCATTGATTTATTTTTAAAGATATTTCTCTCTTATTTCCTGGCTTGCTTTAGACGTTTGTGTCGATTTTCAACCTTGTCTTGAATCTCATTGAGCTTCCTTGCAATCCATGCTTTGAATTCTTTCTGTCATTTATGAGTTTCCATTTTAGTTGGGGACCATTGCTTGACAGCTCTAAGGCCATCCCTTGGTAGTGTCACTACATTGAGATTTTTCATGGTGCCAGAATTCTTGTACTGGTTCCTTCTCATCTGAAGACACTGGTACTTCTAATTTTTGTCATTATTTTCTCGCAGGTATGATTGTTTTTCTTTCTTCATTTCCCTATAGTGTTATTTTATTTTTTCTGTACCCTCCTCCCCCCCTTTCTCTATGGGTGAGACTGCAGAGAATTCTGGTTAGGGTCTTTTGGCTTTGCTTCTATAGCCCTATGCACTTCTTTGGGCAAGTTTTATATTGGGCTGTGCAATTTAATGTACAAGCCAGTAGATGACGCTAGGCAGCCAATGCAGTTGGGTATATACTTGATTCTTGTTTATTTTCGGAAGCTCTCTGTTGTGTCAGGCAGTGTACTGATTCTTTGAATGCACAGTGGTCGAGCTCCCTGCTTAACTACCATAGGACAGAGGCCATGAAGGCAGGGATAGACCAGCACATCTGCCCACACGTCCCCTGATGGCAGGCACTTAAATTTCTCTCAACTGTGAATGGCACCATGTATGGTCTGTAAGTGTTTGTATATGTAAGTTTTTATAAATTATAATTTTTAATGACAGATTTGTATATATTTTATGGCAGTAAATTATAACAGACTAGTAGCTACATATATTTCGTGCATTCATGATATAATTTTTTCTTAATTTTTTTGATATTTCTAGGCCACATGGTTGGCATGTTTTTCATGTTATCACAGATCTTCAAAAAATTTTCCAATACAGTTTTTAAAAAAAATCCACATATAATTGGACCCATTTATTTCAAACTCATGTTGTTCAAGGGTCAGCTGTAGTTCTGAAAAGTGATATTCATTATGTGTTGTTTTTTATTTGCTGTTTTACTTTCCCTTTCAGTTTCTCAGATTAGTCTGCTTTTCGGTTGTATGACTTTTAGTTGATTTTTAAATTGACAGGATAGTAGGCTGTCCTACTATCTAGGATACTGTCCTACTATATAGGATCCTACTATACTAATGAGAGAAACTGTGTTCTTTCATTGTACTTTATATGCCCAGGGCCTGGTACTAGCCCTTAATAAATAAGCATTGAATGACTCTATGAATTAAACTTAGTGCTCCATGATTTTTTTTTAAAGGAGAAGTGAATTGTCTGTGGCACTGTAATTGGAGAATTTGATTTAAAGTTACAAATTTTGGTAGAAAACTTTAAGTTATATACCATAGCTGATTAATTGAAGTCTTACTTTTTTTCACCACATTTAATGAGTAGATCCTGGGGACCAGATACAAACTAGTTTTTTTCACTATAATTACTACTTATGAAATAGAAGTGTAGTTGCTAATATGCACACCTCAAAATATGACCTATCATACATCTATTGAAAACTAGTTTCCTAGTTTTTACTGCCTTTTTCTATCAAATAGAAAAAAAAATGGAAAAACCATTTAATGGAAAGCCATTGAGTGAATTTAAGATTATTGTTGGCCTTGGAAAAATTCAGTTCCTCTGTGAAATTTCTTGAGCTTCTTCAAAAATATTCTATGTAAATACCATATTGGGGATATTATTGATACTGTAAAATCTTTTTAGACTTTAAAGCTTTATTCCATAAACTGGCTTGTGATTTAATTAATATATTGTTCTTTTAACATTATTCGTTAGATTGTTTCAAAGTATTTCAATTAATTCAATATGTTGCAATGTTAAAATAATAACTATACCATTTTATTAGGATTCTTTATTCAGTTCCTTTTTCCCTGTATTAAATCTTTACATTTTCTAGATTAACAATTTATTTTATCAGTAATACTTCCATTAAGCACATAATAGACTTCAATTTTCTACATACAAACATTTTTATTCCTAATAAGTGATGAACAGGCTCAGTAAAAGTTGCTAAGAATGTTTGTATTGCTGGATTGGAATATCATGGATATGCATACTTTTTTTTTCCATAGGAGAGAGCTTTAATTGTTACTAAAGTCAGGAAAATTCAGTCACTTTTGCACTTTGAGAAGCTGATCTCTGACATGTTTATGAAAACTGCTTAATCTTTTAATAGGTGACAAATTTTTTGAAGACAGCATCATGACGCTTCTACCTTGATACCTGCAAAAATGATGTGAAAAGGAGCAATTTTCATTTTGCTCTTTATATCTTCAGTTCTGGTGTGAAGTAGAATGGCAATTTTGGATTGAAAGCTTATCTTAATTTTTCTACCCATCTGTCTAGTTGGCATTTAGATATTCTAAGTAAGGCTCCATTTCTTCATAGAGATTCTTTAATCGATGTTACTGTAGCTTTCTTTCTTTACTTTCCAGGGACCTCAGATCTTATTTTCAAAGCTCAAGTATTTGCAGGGGTGATTCTGGTATGTTCACATAATTTTTGACTCATTCAGTCTTATAAATTTGACCTGGGATTCAAAATGCTTATTGATCTTTATTTTATACTATTTAAAATCAAGACTTTCTGCATAAACTATACCAGAACCTTAAATTAAGTACTTAAGGAATTTCCCTAGAAAATTTACATATATATATATATATACACACACATTTTTTTTTTCCTGTTTGGCCTGATGATATGTCTCTTGCTGTGAGCTGCAGTTTTTCCAACTCACTTCTGCTGTGACAGACCATATCCCATTTGGACAAAAAATAGATTGAGCTTAATACTAGGAAAAAGATTATGCTTAACTATTACTATGAAGAGAATAATTGTTCATCCCAGTGGCAGACTGTAGTCTTGCATTAAGTGTTCTGGGACTAATTAATCAGGAAACAACTATTATTAAAAAGGAAACTGCTCATCAGCTGCCTGCTTGGGCTATTCCACAGAAAGAAACTGTAGACCTGGCTACTTGGACTCCATCTTGTAGCATCATTCTTTAACTGCTTATGTCCCAGTTAAAAGAGGTAATTTAAGGATTTTTAGCAGACCTTATTTGGTAGTGATAAACTTTAATATTAAATTAATATTAATGGACTTGTTGAGTATAAATTAACATAAAAACAATAATATTGGGTTAGAATATTTTGGTCAATCTGGAAGGCTTCTTAACTTCTAATCTTACCACATTTTAAATCCTGGAACAAGCCATGCTGCTTACATATAATCCTAGTAGACAGCATTTGAGTGTGTATGTAAATATATATAAACAAACGTGTTTGTCATGCAAGATGAAAATTTAAAAATCTAACCATTACTGAATTAAGTATATCATATTGACATTTCTGTTGACTTACTAGTTTATTTGGCTTAACTAAAGTCTTAGAGAATTACTATATAAGAGAGTATTTTAACTTAACAAGAGTATGTGCATTACGTATGTGTTATATGTGTTGTTTCCCAGGCTGCTTTGTGTTTGTAAGATGATTATTATATCTAGGATTTGAGGTGTTTCTTAATTTACCAAACGGGAATTGATTATAAACTAATGAGAATTTTATAATTGTTCTTGATGTTGTTTTTGTTAATTTTACCTCTTCTTTTTTTGATGTTTGTCCTAATACGTATACACCATCACAAGTTTATTAGTTTCTAAAATAAGCAAGTAGTTGGATGAATTAGGAAGGTTTTTGGCATTACTTTCAATGGCAAAAACCGCAATTACTTTTGCACCAGCCTAGTAAGAACTGGAAAGCTACTCTCAGTGAAGACTGGAATTTTAACTTATTCTTCTTATATCCTTCCCACCCTTCTGTCCCCAACCACCATTTATTAATGGACACATAATACGTATACTCTGAGCATATTTTTATGAAGCCAATTTGAATTGTGGCCCATTGGGGATTAATTTATTCTGTGCTATTGTAGTATTTCAAATCAGTTATAGTTCAAGGTGCTAAATCTTATACAAATGATGCTGCATTACAGTCTAATGTTTACAAACTTCATGGCACGCTTAGCCAGGGAAAACAATCTTGCGAATGTTGGGGGTAATTGCCTTTTAATAGGTAGATGCAGTTCTACTGGCTTGTTTGTTTAAACAAAGGAAGAAACTTATTAAATGCCCAACTTATATGTGATGCATCTAATGGAAACAAGACAGTATCTTGAACAAGAACAGTGATAAAGCCTAGAGCCATGGGTTTTATTCAAGTTTTGTATCTCTGGGCTTATATTTTTAATAGTTTGTTTTAAACTTTGGGTATATGGATTTGTATTAATTGCTATAACTTACTCAAATATTCACCTTACTGGAAGTATTGTTGTGTGTGTATTTAACACAGTCGTTTTAAGAATCACATATTAATTTACTTTTGTGACTCATTAGTGGACTATATTGATTTCAAATAATAATATTACAGTTAACATAGAAGTCTAAAAGCTGAGTTACCCAGCCCAAGTCAAATAGAAAATGTGTTTTAGAACTGGAAATAGAAACGGGAGTTACTAATAATGTGTCTGTGATTTCTAACTCTCTTTTTGATGTTTTCCACTGAACATTACTTGGAGCATAATATCATAGAGAATTTTTTTATATTGTGATAAAATTGCTTATCAAAGTTTCCATTAATAAATAGTACTTCCACAGACTAAACACTAAGAGGCAACTTATTGGCTCTCCAGAGGTGAAATTTCAAATGCTGAGGCATGGCTGCACATATGCAGAACTTGTTTTGCTTGTTGGTTGTGTTGCTTACCGGTGCTTAGTGCCTGTCTTCCTTGGTGTATGTGAGGCAATGGATGAAAGCTGTACATCACTCCAAAATGATGCTGAACTGATTCTAGTTTGACACTTGAATTACCTTCTTTCCTAAGATAACACGTCTTGTTCAGTTTCAATGAGGTAGTAGATATTATTTCCACAGATATTGTTTATGGAACTCAATGTAGAATGATTTTTTACCATATAAGAGGAAAAATTATCTTGTTGCTAAATTCTATCCAGTTTGGACCAGTACAATGGTGTCTTAAGTCACTGGATAATTATTGAATGTAAGGTCCCTGTGATGGCACATTAATGCTTTGAGAGAATGGTTATAATTAAATCATGATGATGTCTTTTTATCCTGGATAGAGATAGTCTATAAGAATGCCTGTAGCAGTGGAGTGTCCTTGAAATATGAGGGAAACACATGTCTTACCTTAGTAATCTTAATGGTTCTTTAAGGATTCTATGATGCTTCAGGGGCACTATGATGCTTCAGGGGCACTCCAAGCAATTTTTAATGAGTCCTTAGTCTCATGAAAATATGGCAGGAAAATTATACACCAACATTTCATCATTTTAATCCTGTGTAGTGTCTAAATTTTAGAATACAGTCTGGGTGCGGTGGCTCATGCCTATAATCCCAGCACTTTGGGAGGCTGAGGCAGGTGGATTACTTGAGGTCAGGAGTTCAAGACCAGCCTGGGCAACATGATGAAACCCTGTCTCTACGAAAATGCAAAAATTAGCCAGGTGTGGTAGTGTGCACCTGTAATCCCAGCTGCTCAGGAGGCTGAGGCAGGAGAATCGCTTGAACCTAGGAGGTGGAGGTTGCAGTGAGCTGAGATTGTGCCACTTCACTCCAGCCTGGGCAACAGAGTGAGACTCCATCTCTAAATAAATAAATTAATTAAGAATACAATATAAGGTACCAATTCCATACCTCTCTTCATTCAAGTCTTGATTTAATGGTTAGAGTACTTAGTTTTTGATAATCTATTCTTGGTTTATTTACATTCAGTTTTAATTTTACTGCTGCCTGTTATTTGTCAGAAACATTACCTAGGACAGATCTCAAAGTTTAATGTGCATTCAAACCACCTGCGGATCTTGTTAAAATGCAAATTCAGTAGATCTGGGATAGAGCTTGGGATTCTCATTTCGAACAAGCTATCAGGCAATGTCAACACTACTACTAGTTAGGGATCTCACTTTGAACCAAGGGTCTAGATCATAGACTGTAAACTCTAGAATGTTTCTGAAATATTTTTTGGATTATTATTAGCTCAGTGAATTCATGAGATTATTTCTGGCTCACTTTAGTTTTAAGAAAATAAATATGCTAAAAATGTACACTATATCTTACTATTTTCTTTAAAACAGTTTTTAAAATTTTCTGTAACTGTGGTTTGCTTTCATTGTAATAGAGAGTTCATAGCTTAATTTGTTATTGTAAAAAGATGGACACATAGTATAATTTAAAACTTAAAATAGTTACAGTTCACTATCAAAAGAATATTATGTAAATAAATATAAAATGAACTATGAAAGTGAGCTAAAGTTACTTGCCTTATAAGGTTTAAGTTATTTTTTCTTAATTTATGCTTTATGTAACAACTAAATCATCTGACATTTGTCTTTTATTTGATGTGAAAGTAGGAAGAAAAGTCAGAGAATCAAAGAAGCAGAAGATGATTCTTTTGAATGTTTTTTTCTCTTGGGTTTTGGCTGTCCGCTTTCATTTTTGATTCCGGCTGCTTCTTTAACTTTTTTCACATGTATAGAGGCATTTAAATTTTCCATTTGAGCCCAAGAAACAAGAATTAGATTTTACTTCCATGAATCTTCATTCTTATACTATTAATATTCAACACAGTTAAAACCATAATACATTTTACTTCCCAGGAAGAAAAGTTTTGTTTCCCATTCCTTCTCTCGGGTTATATACTGAGAGAAGAGGGCTTTAATGAAAAAGCCAACCACATTAATTTAAAATGTTCTATCATGGAGCTAGTAGTTTAACACAGAGTTTAAGGTTCTTGGAGGCCCAACCTCCTTTTTTTTTTTTTTTTTTTAAATGGATAGAGATGTAGCCAGAAAGCTAGAAAGGTATTGTGACAAACAGCTCTCTGGGAAAACCTGGCCAGTGTTTTTGCTGTGGAAATGTAGTGGCACATACTAAAAGCATTAACTCAGCCTCTTTATTTTCACTACCTTTTAGTAATCATTCCCAAGAAGAAAAAGAGTTAAGATGTTATTCATGATATAGTTGATTACTGACATAGAGATAATGATATGAATCTTGAACATACAATTTACTAATCTAGATTGTTGACTGAGAGAACATTAGGTTGAATGTTAACTAATTTAATATGTTGGGTTGCTTTTTAAATGACATTCATCATTTAAGACATCTCTAGTATTATTCTAAATTATCAAGAGGATTTATAAACTAGCTTTTAATTTCATTCCTGATATGCCTTTTATGCTGCTTAGTTTTGTTTGAGTATCCAGTGTGGATTCTGGGTGTTTTGTTTTTTTTTTTTTTTGAGACGGAGTCTTGCTCTGTCACCCAGGCTGGAGTGCAGTGGCGTAAGCTCGGCTCACTGCAAGCTCCACCTCCTGGGTTCACGCCATTCTCCTGTCTCAGCCTCCCGAGTAGCTGGGACTACAGGCGCCCGCCACCACGCCCGGCTAATTTTTTTGTATTTTTAGTAGAGATGGGGTTTCACCGTGTTCGCCAGGATGGTCTCGATCTCCTGACTTCATGATCTGCCCTCCTTGGCCTCCCAAAGTGCTGGGATTACAGGTGTGAGCCACCGCGCCTGGCTGGATTCAGGTTTTATAGGGCATGAAGCTTATATAATTTGGAGGCAACAGCTCTTTAAGGACAAGATCCCATTGTGGGTGTGGGTGCAAATTTTACAAAAGTATATAATGATGTGAATGTGTTTCTAGGGACCCTTCTGGGACAGAATGAAGACAAGCTAAGCTTCATCTTCTGCTACTATCACAAACTGAGATGACACTTCATATTTTTTTTTATCTTGAAGGGTAGTCCACTATATTTGGAAAGAGCATAGGCTTATGTTACAACTGGGATTCAAAAATGGGCCTTCTCCATCTTCTTTGCTACCGTTAGAGTCTTACGTACATCTTTTTCCTAGGCAACAACAGCTTTCAAAATGGTATTCACATTTCCATCTTTGTTTTTTTACACACTCCTTCCCTATAGCCTGTTCTCTACAGTGCAGCTGAAGAACCCTTTTTAAAAATGTTTCAGTGACATATTCAGGATATAGAATAAAATCCAGAATTTTTAAACTATTTTCAGTGTTCTTCATTCATTCCCAAAATCTAAGTTTCTCTCTGCTGTCATTTCTCTTGAGCCTGAAATAATTTTTTTAGCACTTCTTATGGTTCAGGTCTGTTGGTGAAAACTTCTCTTAGATTTCCTTTATTTGAACATTCTCTATTTTGCCTTTATTCTTTATTCTTGCAGGGTGTTTTCACTGGACTACTGAGTTGACAGTTTTTGCTTTCAGCATTTTGAAAATGTTCCACTGCCCTCTGGTCTTCATACTGCCTGATGAAAGTTTGTGTTTTTTGTTGTTGTTTGTTTGTTTTGTGTGTTTTTGTTTTTGAGACGGAGTCTCACTCTGTTGCCCAGGCTGGAGTACAGTGGCACGATCTCGGCTCACTGCAAACTCTGCATACTGGGTTCAAGTGATTCTCCTGCCTTATCCTCCTGAGTAGCTGGGATTACAGGCATGTGCCACCATGCCTGGCTAATTTTTGTATTTTTAGTAGAGACAGGGTTTCGCTATATTGGCCAGGCTGGTCTTGAACTCCTGACCTCAGGTGATCTGCCTGCCTCAGCTTCTCAAAGTGCTGGGATTACAGGTGTGAGCCAACACGCCCAGCCTCTGATGAAAGTTTATCATCATTCCAGGATTGGTTTCATAGGCATGTGACCTATGTTGTTGCATAGGTACCCGTACTTAGAAAGATCCTGTGTTTCATTAAATGTTCTACTATTGCTATCTTGATACGCTTAATGGCTTTTGAACAAGGGCCCTGTATTTTCATTTTGCACTGATTCTGTGGTTTCTTCTATTTTATATATATTATACATGAAACAAACCAGAAAATCTTCTCTGCCTATTGGGTAAGAATTGTCTTGTATCTAGGCTGCCTGTGCTAGATAATAAGGATCATCAAGATTTAAGTAGATTTTTTTTTAAACATTCGACCAACTTCCAAAAACAGTTTTTAGGAATAGAAAATAAAATTTATAATAATAAGAATACTCATTCATATTTCACAGACATTCATAGTTTATAAGGTTATTTCCATATACTTTCTAATTTTATCCTTATAAAAGCCCTATGAGTTAGGCCAGTAATAATTCTATCCCCTTTTATTGATATGCAAATACAGGCCCAAGAGAAGTTATATGAATTAATCTTAAATCAGTCAGGTAACCATTCTTCTCTGATTAAAATCTAGTTTAAGATTTTTTTTCTCTAGCTGAGCACGGTGGCCTGTAATCCCAGCACTTTGGGAGGCCAAGGCAGGCGGATCACCTGAGGTCTGGAGTTTGAGACCAGCTTGGCCAACATGGTGAAACTCTGTCTCTACTAAAAATACAAAAATTAGCTGGTGTGATAGCACACATCTGTAATCCCAGATACTTGGGAAGCTGAGGCACGAGAATCGCTTGAACCCCGGAGGTGGAGGTTGCAGTGAGCCGAGATCATGCCACTGCACTTTAGCCTGGGTGATAGAGTGAGATTCTGTCCAAAAAAAAAAAAAAAAAAAAAATTTTTTTTGAACCATTATAGCTAAAAATAGTGAATAGTGACATTTTTTAGCACACTTTTTTCCCAAAATGTTTCATAAATATAATTTCATTTAACCTTTCAGCTAGCCATCTGATATAAGCAGTATTCATTATCAGTGTATTTCCCTTTTTTGAAATGAAAAAGATCTAAAGGTACAAAAAATTATTTGTATGGGTTACATAAGTAATGTAGGATCTAAAGCTGTCACCCAAATCTCTAACTCTAAATTGTGTCCATTTTTTTAATATTGCACTATCTTTTGTTGTTTAGAGATGAATTCAACAATATACAATATACATTTATTATTAGCTCACCAATATTTTTACTTTGTGTCTTTAGACTGCATCTGATGTCGTAGGAAGCACTCAACACTTTATTGAATCAACAAATAATGAATGTAAAAAATATCTTTTGGCAGCATCTGATGTCCTTTGGACTTTTGCTTCTTTATTCTGTTCTGGAAAATGTACTATGAATAAAACTGCTTTTTCTCTAATCTCAAATGAACTGCATAATATTTCCAAAATGCCGTATACCTGCATTTTGAATTATGAGTCAACTGATAAAAAAATTTAAAAGACTTCTGGGCCAAAAGGGCTATTTACATGCTAAGTAATATGCCTTGGGATGAAAACACATTATAAATATTTATATTTAACCAATTTTCTCTAAACCCTTTTGGAGGTCTTTTGAAGATTTCTTTGTTTGCTCCTTCCTAGTTCGCTTTCTCCCTCCCTTTTTTCCTCCCTTTCTTATAGGGAATGCTATTCTGTAAAAGCTATATTCTATCTTCTGCCAAACCCTCAAATCTAATTTTGGAACAACTTCTGTAGGTAATTTAAGTACAGAAGATAGATTTAATGTTCATTTTACTTTTGATTTATATATGACATCTGTTTGGAACCAAACTTTCTCTGTTTTTAGAAACAGAGAAAAAAAATATTTTGGGATATGTAGGCCAGAGGCAAATGATCTGACAAGTTAGCCCCCTTGTTTCTAAAGGAAAAATTGCCACAGTTTATAAGAGTGGTATAAAGGCCAAGAAGTTGACCAAGACCAAAGGAGATCACAAAGAAAGCATAGCATATAGTAGACTTTCAAGAAAGAAGTTTACTGAATGATGAAGGAAAATATGTGTCTATGGTTTTTATGGCCTACCTAGCATATAGGATATATCTTCTTTTTTTCCGACCCACTACCAAAGAAGAGTTATAAAATTCCTGTCTTCAGTCGTGTTGACCTAAAATAAGATGTACTGTGGTATGACAATACCAACCTTTATGTGCCTTATTTTCAGACTTTGTGCCTTTAGCTTAAGTAGAGATATTGGCTAATAGCTGTAAGTCTTGCTACTTTTCTGTTCTCAGTGTGATGTTCAAAATTAGTGAAATGCAGACTTTTATTTCTTTCCTCAAATGTAAGTCATTTCTGTTTCTGTAGTTATTAAATGCTTTTTGATAATATGAAAAAATATACACTGCATTGGCTTTTAGGAACATTTTCGTCATATATATTTCAAACTTTAATTAGGACCTCTAACAACAACCATGTTTTAAAACAAAGTTTGGCAGCAGTTGGCTTTTTGTTTTCTTTATAGAAATTGAAAAGGTGCTAGAAGAAGGTGCTGAGTAATTTTAACCACATGCAATGTAGTAATCACCTGGAAATCACACACTTTCTCAATTGTCTTATTGCTACTATGAAAAACAGGAATAAATTTTAGTCATTAATACATTTATTCTTTTTTTCCAGAGAAAAATTGAAGCTGAATTTAACACATTTTATTGACTTGTATATCACATCATTCATGACACAATTTATATTTTATTTGTGCACATGATTAACACTTTATTGGAATTATTACTATTATAAAATTGTAAGATACAATTGGATCCAAATTTTTTGTGGAATTAAAATAAGCCAACAATAGGATTATCTTTAAGCATTTAGAACAGAATGGGTTAAACTGTCATTATTGGTCAGAACAAGCAAATAATAGGATGTTTTACATTTTATTTTGTTGCTGGTTTTGGTTGGTATAGAACATTATTATATACAAAATACTATTTGAGATGTGTATATCATAAACTATAGCATTGGGAATCTTTTGGTCATGCCGAGGTTTTTCATTGGAATTTGTTGTAGCATTTGCTGTAACTGGATTTGACCTGTATAACCAATAGATAGTGTAGGATGTTATCCTTTACCAGTAGTTTTCTGTAACTATTATGTGTACAGTCTTTGTGTCTCAGCCCACATTTATAATATCTGCACATCTTAACAGGCACCTTTTTGAATGTAAACATTTCAGAGCTCTCAAGAACTTAAAGACATCTAATCTTGCTATTGCATGCTTCAGGTGGTAAGCATGTCACTTTAAAAAATAAGACAGATAGCCATTTAGGACTGGGAGAAGCTGTGAATTTCTCTCTGTCATCCAGTGAATAAGTGGACTAGAACTTTCCTCTGTTATTTCCAGTAGTGTTTGGCAAAGATATGAAGAATATTTGCAACAAGTGAATTTAGAATTTGTCACAAACTTAGATTCTCATGAAATCCCCCAAAATGTGAGGAACAAATTAGACATAACTTAATGGTCTTTATACTAACAGAGTTTTATAAAATCGGATAAGTAAAACAAAACAGAAACAAACACCTTAGTCTCACTGTCTTGTCTGTTATATTTTATTAATGATGCGGTTTAGACATATTTTCCATTAATACAGTGTATGCCTGTGTTACTTAATAATTGAAGTTTCTTTTAACTCTGTTCATGTTGGTTAAAACCATTTTTTATGTGAAGTTAAAATTTACAGATATAAAGACATTCCAGGGATATTGGGTAAATGGTTCTTCTGAAAATTTCCAAAACTTTTTAAACACCCATTTCGTACACATATAAACAAATGTTAGTTGTAACTGCCATACGTCTAGTTTATTAGCAAGTTCAAAGGATTTGAACTATATTTATAAATAAGTTTCTTCTATTTAGAGGGAAGAAAAGTTATTTGTTGAATATCGTTGTAATTACTTGAGTGATACAGTTTTGCTATTTTACAATCAATCATTGTTCTCATAAAGTTCTGTAGGAAATACTGCCTATTTAATACCTTTACACTTGAACACCACCAACAATTTTGTTTCCCTTCAGGGCATACAGCTGTTTCCAGCCTACTCAGTGCCATGTCAGGACATAAAATTATCTTGACAGCAAGATTTAAATTATAAATAGTCCCATAATGACATTCAGCTTGGGCGGTACATTTATAAAAGTAGTTATTAAGGAAAATGTAATTCAACCCATTACTATAACTAGATTCTCTCACATTTCTGAAGCTGTCTTTTGGTAGCCCGATAATATTTGCATATGTAAGCATTTAAACTATTAAGGCTATCAAGTCAACAAGTATAAAAACATAATATAGATATTAGATAAATGGTTTCCTAAAATTTTCCAAAACTTTTCTATTACAAATACGTCTTAATATATGTCTTTGCCCTATGAAAACTGATAAAATATTGGGGAGTTGAGACCCCAAGATCTTGATATTATTCAAAAAGCATAGACTGGAAATACTTTATATATAATGAAAGAAGAAAAGAACTAGAAGTCGATTTATCTTATAAGCAACATCAGAATATTGGATAGTGAATAACATTTTATGAGCACTTTTTTCCTAGAGTAAATGTTGACTGTAAGTTACTTGGTGTTAGTGTTCTGATTTTTAAATACCCAATTTACCATCTTATTAGTACATTTAGATCCTATGAGAATGTACTTTTAGCCAAAGTCATATTTTTCTCTGAAAAAATTATATTTATTCTAAAAAAGCTTTACTATTTGAATAAGTGTTGCTGTGAGTCTATTTTATGCTGCGTGTGTACCTAGTTATTTCAGCATCTGAAAGTAGAGATACGTAACAGAAAGTGAATGGGAAGATCAGTCAATCATAACAATATGTAATATGGGTCCATGTTGCAGAGCCACACTTATCAAAGCTTTAGCCTGTGTTGTGGTCATCACTGAAAAAATCTAGAGCATAGCTGGTTTGAAGCTGGCATGGTGGAGATGTTAGTGTTAGATTAACAGTAACATTTAACCTCTGTGATATAAACCTCTATGAAACCTCTGTTTAACATAAACCTCCGCATGTTTATGTGTGTGTGTGTGTGTGTGTGTGTGTGTGTGTGTGTGTGAACATTGATTTTATTTCTGAAGTCTGTAGTTTATAAACATTATTGCATTGTGCTGCTTAGTGGGCCAAAAATTACCCAAGATGATTGCTGATCCCAACTTCGATCTTCTAATTCAGTTTTTAATCAAATTTTCTTTTTTTGATTTTGACTCCTTCTCAATAGAGATATTTCTTACCGGGCTTCTGCCAGTTTAGCAACTTCATTTCTCTCTTAAGCATGTCTTAGAAACAGCCTAATGTATTTATTCTTTCCTTTCCCAATTTCTGTCTCTTAAAAAGGGATTTCTGTCAAAGGTTCAGTGTTCTGAGTTGTTCCCTATGCTACCTAATCACTTTAGCCACTTAGCTTTGAAACTGCCTGATGAAAAAGGAAGTTGTACTGGCATATGTAGGTCAGTTCCTTTGATTTCTCATTTTTCTTATTCCCCTAGATAGAATGATGAGAAAGTTTAGTATTTTTAGCTTTCTTTTAAACAGCTTTATATTCTGGGTGGTTTTAAGCCACCCCAATTTCTGATATTTTAAAAGAATCCTGGTGTTTATTCTAGATAAGACACCTACTATATAAAATAATATTTTATGTTGATGTTCAACAGGAAAGGGACACTAATCAGTCCACCTGATTTATTTAGCAAATATTATTACCTTCTACTGTGTGCCAGGCACTGTACTTGCCACTGAGGATAACAGCAATGAAATATGTTATCAGAGGAGCTCCACTGCCTAGTGAAGAAGATGATCAAGCACACTCAGACCTGTGTTGGTTAGTCAATGGAATTGCTTAGTAAATTATTTCGGGTCCCTGCAGTACGGTCTTTTTGATCTTCTAGTGAATACATCCCTGGTCTGAGAGTTAGAAGGTTTTCATACCATTTCTTTCTGCTGGCATTTCATCTTTCATCATATATTTAATACAGTATAATCTTGAGTAAGCCATACATCATTTTTATAAAGTTAGTAATGTCTGTTACAACATATTATGAGATCTTTGGGACAGAAATGCTGAGTCAACAGAAACATTATCCTTTCAACAAACATGCACTGAGTACGTATGATTGAAGCACTATGTGTTAGGCTCCCTGAGTGATACAGAGATAAGCGAGACAATTATCTAGGTCTAGGAGCTGACAATGCAGTGTATTGGATGGAAACGAGGTATGGGGGAAGTGTAGAGGAGGGCATAACAGTTAAGACATTTCTTTAGTGCTTTCTTGTACAAAGCAAATGTATGTTTAAATGAGAATCTTATTATTAACTTTATTCTCTCTAACCCTTTATCTCTTCATAATGATTTGTAGTTGGAGATTTTCCAAACCTCAGTGGGCACTGTAAACTCAAAAATTAAGTTAGTTTATTATCAACTTATTTAAATAGTGTTCTTTAGCTTTGCCTTCACTTTCACTTGCATTGCCAGAGTACTTAATCGTTATTAAGAGATATTTTTTAAAAATTCTACTATTTGTGTCAGGGTTTTCAACTTTGAAAAATATGCCAAACCATTTCATCGGGAAAAAAAAAGTCCTCAAAGACCCTCTTTTCACCAGTGTTGAGTGTGTGTATTTTATCCAGTGTTGGGTGTGTGTATTTTATCCAGTGTTATCTAAATACATGGAGATATACAATTAAATGCAAACTATACTCTTAACTCTCATGACCATAATCTATTAGAAGCAAACTATAAAATCAATAAAAATGTATATTTGCCATATTAATCTAATGTTATAAATTAGGTTGTCTTCCAGAAAATAAATTACTGCTGACAGTGTGAATATGATACTGAGAGCTACAACACAGATTTTTTTTTGAGCTTTCTTTTAAAAAGCACTATTACAGCTATGTAAAATTAAATTAGGTTCTTTTTCTGGTGCTTTTTCAGTGCTTGCAATTCCTTTTTTAAAAACTAGGACAATTAAGATTTTATTGTGTGATGCTGGTAAGCATGGAGTAGAATAAAGCAGGGTATTGTAAATCATTAATCTAAAGGATAGTAATATTTATTTTAATGAAAGGCAATAGAATTATATTAGGCTAGCTTTAAAATAATAGTGGCCATCACTAGTCGTCTTCTTCACTGGATAAGATAGTTAAAGGAAGGGCATTTGTGTTTTTTGAAGGCATTATATTTCTACAGAGTTATGAGGATCTATAATATATATAACAGGCTTTCCCTAACCAACAAGCCCCTTTCTAGGTCTAAGGAAAATCCATGGCACTCTTTCCCACCAAGCCCAGCTTCTCAAGTCTTCTTTACTAGCTCATAAGATAAACCAATGGAGGGCCGGGCACGGTGGCTGATGCCTGTAATTCCAGCACTTTTGGAGGCTGAGGCGGGTGGATCACGAGGTCAGGAGCTCGAGCCCAGCCTGGCAACATGGTGAAACCCCGTCTCTACTAAGAATACAAAAATTAGCCAGACATGGTGGTGGGCACCTGTAATCCCAGCTACTCAGGAGGCTGAGGCAGGAGAATCGCCTCAACCCGGGAGGCGGAAGTTGCAGTGAGCCGAGATTGTGCCATTGCACTCCAGCCGGGGTGACAAGAGCAAGACTCCATCTCAAAAAAAAAAAATAAAAATAAAAATAAAGATAAACCAGTGGATTTAGGGGGAAACAAAGGAGACACATAGAGGGTATAAATAAAGCAGAAAGGTATGGAGAGACATGCATAGGGGTCTGTTTCCAGCCATTTCCAGCCAAGTTAGTCTATAAATACTGGGGAAATGTGTCATGTTAGCAACATATATTACTACATTTGTTACTGAATTTTGGTCACTAGTTATTAGCAAGGAACATATGAAACTAAAGATGCTTCTTGATTTTTTGATACAAAGCATGTAAATTTAAAATTGTATTTCCCAATAAGGCATCTCTGGGGAAAATGAATTAATTTGGGCTACTTCTTAGCTTAAACCCTTCACAGGGCTGCGTGCAGTGGCTCACCCTTGTTATTCCAGCACTTTGGGAGGCCGAGGCGGGCAGTTTGCTTGAGCTCAGGATGAGACCAGCCTGGGCAACATGTTGAAACTCCATCTCTACAAAAAATACAGAAATTAGCCGGGTGTGGTGGTACATGCCTGTAGTCCCAGAGGCTCAGGTGGGAGGATTGCTTGAGCCCGGAGGAGGCAAGATCGCACCACTGCACTCCAGCCTAGATGACAGAGCCAGACTCTGTCTGAAAAAAAAAAAAAAATTTTTTTTCAAAGGCCTTACCACTTCTTATAGCACCCTCATGATTTTGTTTTTTCTGTGAGAATAGGGTTCCAGACCTCAAACAATACCTAGCATGCAATAGACCTTCATTAACATTTTAATTTAATTGAACGCTAATTGCATGAATCTGGGCACAACATGTTGGCAGTAAGTAAATCTTTTCCATTTTTAGTGTATTCTAGGGCAGAGCATTCAAGACTGGAAGTATGAAAGCAAGTTAGAAGAGCAGAAAAATCCAAATTTCACACAAACCTAATAGTTAGAGTTCAGTTTAACAGACATTTATTCAGTGCTCAACATTTCCCACTGTTCTTGGAAGTCAGTAATATGTAGGGTTGTCTAAAGCCACATTGTTGAATATGTGTAGAATGATGAAAGATATAAGTGATATAAAAAATAATTAAACTCATGATTAAGATTTTGTTTTTTGTTTTTTAACTTGGACTGCAGAGACATCTCATAAAGACAAGAGCATGAGTATTTCAAGTTTTCTTTTGAAAACTGAGTCATAGATGTTGCATTTCAAGCCAAGGTTTGATCATTCTATACTTCATGGCTTTTTAAAATTCTAGTTGCTATAACAACTTTGATATTTCTTTATTATTTTTAGCACTTCAGTTGCCATAACAATAAGATATCCTAAAAAATAGCAATTTTCTTTTATAAGAGAAAATTTTCTTTTAATTAAAAATGAATGTGAACCAACACTTCTTACCTATAATGTGAACCCATTATTTAAAATGGGTCTGTGCTCTTCTGTTTTCATACAATTTTAGCAGACTTTTGTAGGAAATATCTTAAGGTTCAACTTTTCTCTCTCTGTTTTTACTGTACAAAAGTTGAAGGGATACAGCTGTTTTGAACCCTTTCTATGAGATAATTCTAATTTTTATGGGATTTCATTGATATAAAAATGAAATGATATAAAAAATTTAATTTCCAGATTTGTTAGTTTATAAAGCAGGAAAAGATCGTGATTAATGGATAGTTGTAAGCCATGGGAAATGTAAGAAACGTTGAAATTTCCTTTTCTCCTGTGTTATTTTTAAGTGTATTTTCATACCTGTTGCCATACTAAAACAGGTACCTCCTCACTTATCTGGAAATAACTGACAGCTTAAGCCTGAGCTATGGCACTTTACTCATAGAGCAGTTACCTTTATTTGCTCTTTGAGAAAAAATTCTTATAAGCTTAGTTTCTGATACAGAAGCCTCTAGAAAATAAGGACAGCAAATTAGAACAGGAAGGAGGGGCTATGCTGTGTTTGCTATGCACATAGATTCATAAAATATAGAGTTATGTATTATTTTTAAGGTACCTAATTCTTATGGAAATCAAACAAATCCAGCAGCTACAAAGGTATGATTGTATCAGAAGACAGTATTCGAATTGATGTTAATAGTGATGATCCTAGGCTACCAAATATTAAATTATGTCAGAATTCTTGGTTTAAGAAGACAGAGGAATAGATAATACATCTTTTAAGAATTTAGATGCCTAATGTAATAGAGTAAAACAATTTTTTTTTAAAAACTTGGGATCATTTTTCTTTTTCTTTTTTAAAGAAATAGTTTCAACTTTTATTTAAGATTCAGGGATACACATGCAGGTTTGTCACATCAGAATATTGCATGATGCTGAGGTTTGGGGTATGGTTGATCCCTTCACCCAGGTAGTGAGCATAGTACCCATAGTTTTTTAAGCCTTACTTTCCTCTCTCCTTCCTAACTCTATTAGTTCCCAGCATCTATTGTTGCTATCTTTATGTCCATGAGTACCCAATATTTACTTCCTACTTACAAGTGAGAACATGGGTTTTTGGTTTTCTATTCTTGCATTAATTTGCTTAGGATAATAGCCTCTGGTCGCATCCATTCTCCTGCAAAAGATATGATTTAATTTTTTATGGCTGTGTAGTATCGCATGTTGTCTGTGTACCACATTTCTTTGTCCAGTCTGCTAGCATAAAACATAATATTAAAAATCAATTTTAAAAAGCCCCCCATTTATCTGGGAAATGTAAGATCCACGTACCTTAGGTTTTCGTAGACTAAGCCTTGGTAATTTTTATGTTACTTTATTGCTAATCACAGGATTTTCCTAAAAAACATGGTCAGGTTCAGACAATGATATTTCTTTTCTTTTCTTTCTTTTTTTCTTTTTGAGAAGGAGTCTCTCACTGTCACCAGGCTGGAGTGCAATGGCATGATCTCAGCTGACTGCAACCTCTGCCTCCTGGGTTCAGGCAATTCTCCTGCCTCAGCCTCCTGAGTAGCTGGGACTACAAGCGTGCGCCTCCATGCCCAGCTAATTTTTGTATTTTCAGTAGGGACAGGGTTTCACCATGTTGGCCAGGATGGTCTTGATCTCTTGACCTCGTGATCCACCTGCCTCGGCCTCTGAAAGTGCTAGTATTACAGGCGTGAGCCACTGTGCCTGGCTGATATTTCTTTTCTTTAATGTACTTTAAAAAAGGAATGGTGAGGGAGTTGGCAATTCAATAGAAAAGAGAAAGTGTTATTATTAATTTCCAAAACTCAGCATGTTACCTGTGGTTGCAGTTTCTGAAGGAAAAACGATTAGATAGAAATCTTACTGATGGTAAAATAATATGCTTATCTTACTATCAGTGAGCTTTGAATGAATAGCCACTGTATGCTTTACATGCTTTAAGTTTTAGTTTTCATAACCAACTTTTAAAGGTAAGTATTATTATCTCCATTTTAAAGATAGAAGCTGAGATACATGGAGAGAAAGATATACCCAAGGCCTCATAGTTAATGAGTGGTGCAGCCATCATGCCAACCCAAATCTGTCTGACTATAAAGCCTACATTCTTTCCTCTAAGTCATAGTATCTCCTTGTCTTCAAACTTAATAAATGTTTATTAAAGGTAATAACATACCTAGAGGAAAATATGAGAAGAAAGGTCATACTGTGTATGGTTTTATTTTATTGCTCTGCATACTGTTTTGACCTATTAATTTTGTTTTAAACACATATTTTGTGTTTGAGACTTTCTCCCACTAAGAAGGTGGTAAATATACACGTAAATTAGTATTTTTGTCTCCATTTTTCTTTATGATCGAGAAACATAGTGGAACCTCTCAAAGTTTTTGCTTACTTGGCCCATTGTCTTAGATCTCAGCTAGCTAGGGCAGTCTCAAAGTGTTGTATAACTGGCATTTGATATGTCTTTTCTCAGTGTCTCACTTGCAGCTGGGCTGTTGTGTCTTGAGTACAAACACTGAGCCATGAGTCAGATATACTGATTGAGTGTGAAAGTATGTGCAGGCTGGATATACTTACTCCATCCACCAGTATCTGTTCTTTTAGACATTTTAGTAGCTCTCATTCTTTATGGCACATTGCTACAAAGGATTCTGGTATGTTTCTTTTTAAATATCATTATACTATATAATTTCCTGGCAATGCCTTAAAATTCACTCAAATAATTTAGGGCTCTCATTTCGTGGCTTTACACAGAACTCGAACACTTGATTACATGCAAATGCCATCTCAGCCTTTTCAGTCTCTTCAGCTATAACTTACACAGGTCTTAAATGATACATTTTAATGAGCTTTGACATGCATGCATGTGTGTAACCACATGTATCAAGATACAGAATGTTTCCCTCTTCCCTGAAAGTTCCCTCATACCTCTTGCCAGTCTTGACTGGTACATGTGTGCACATGAGCGCATGCGTGTACACATACACACACACACACACACACACACACACACACACACACACACACCCTGCCTGGGGCAACTAGGGTTCTGATTTCTTTCAGCAAAAATTAGTTTTTCCCATTTCAGAACTTCATATAAAATCATGCAATGTGTATTCTTCAATGTATGGCTTCTTTCCTTTAGTTTTAAGATTCATCCATGTTATGTGTGTCTTTAGTGTTGTTCCTTTTCATTGCTATATTTCATTGTATGGAAATATCACGGTTTGTTTATTCATTCCCCTGTTGATGGATGTGCGTGGGCTGTTTCTGGTTTTGGCTATTTCATTTTTATACATACTGCTATGAAGATTTTTATGCAAGTCTTTTGTGGACAATATGTTTTCCTTTCTATTGGAAGGAATTGATGGGAGAGATAGGGTAGATTTTCTTTTAATGTCATAAGAAAATTCCAAACTGTTTGTCAAAGTTTTCAAAGTTGAGCCATTTTACACTACTACCAGCAGTGTATGGTTTCAGTTGTTCTATATCCCTACCAACATTGTACTGTCAGTCTTTTAGTTTTAGCCATTCTAGTGGGTATATATTGGTATCTCATTGTGGGTGTATATTGGTATCTCATCTATTTTGCCTTTTCCTGATGACTGTGGGTGCTGAGCATTTTTTCATTTTCTTAATGGTTATTTGTATATCTTCTTTTGTGAAGTGTCTTCCAGTTTTTTCACCATTTTAATTGGATTATTTGTATTCATATTAACAAATTGTAGGAGTCAGTTATATATTTTGGATGCAACTCCTTTGTTAGACATATGTTTTGCTAATACTGTCTTTGGCTTGCTGATTTTCTTAATGATGTCTTTTGCTAAGCAGAACATTTATTTTAAGTATATTTTATTAAACTTTTTTATAGTTATTGCTTCCAGTATCCTAATAAGTCTTTGTCTATTTTTTAAGAGACACAGTCTTGCTCTGTCACCTAGGCTGGAGTGTGTTGGCATGACCATAGCTCACTGTAGCTTAGAACTCTGGACTGAAGCAGTCCTCCTGCCTCAGCTTGCAGGTAGCTGAGACTACAGGTGTGCACCACCACACCCAGCTAAATTTTGTTTTTGGTACGAACAAGGTCTTGCTATGTTGCCCAGGCTTGTCTTGAACTCCTGGGCTCAAGTGATCCTCCTCGTTAGGCCTCCCAAAGTGCTGGGATTATAAGTGTGAGCCACTGCACCTGTTCATCTTTGTCTATCCTTAAGTTATGAAGACATTCTTCTTCTAGAATGTTTTCCTTTAGAAGCTATATATTTGCAGTTTCAATTTTTTTTTGTTTAGATCTATGATCCATATCATTTAAATTTTTCTATATATTGTGAGGACATGGTCTAAGTTAATTTTTCCCCAGAAGATTATTCAAATTTTTCTAATACCATTTACTGAGAAAATTTTCCTTTTTCCTTGATTTGTTTTAGAATTTTTAATTGAAATTCAGTTGACCATATAAGTGTGGGTTTATTTTTAGACTTTCTTCTTCTCACTGATCATTTTGTATATTCTTTATGCAAGATCTTAACTCTTTTTTTTATTATTATTATACTTTAAGTTTTAGGGTACATGTACACAACGTGCAGGTTTGTTACATATGTATACATGTGCCATGTTGGTGTGCTGCACCCATTAACTCGTCATTTAGCATTAGGTACATCTCCTAATGCTATCCCTCCCCTCTCCCCCGACACCACAACCGTCCCCGGTGTGTGATGTTCCCCTTCCTGTGTCCATGTGTTCTCATTGTTCGATTCCCACCTATGAGTGAAAACATGCAGTGTTTGATTTTTTGTCCTTGCTACAGTTTTCTGAGAATGATGGTTTCCAGCTTCATCCGTGTCCCTACAAAGGACATGAACTCATCATTTTTTATGGCTGCATAGTATTCCATGGTGTATATGTGCCACATTTTCTTAATCTAGTCTATCATTGTTGGACATTTGGGTTGGTTCCAAGTCTTTGCTATTTTGAATAGTGCCACAATAACCATACATGTGCATGTGTCTTTATAGCAGCATGATTTATAATCCTTTGGGTATATACCCAGTAATGGGATGGCTGGGTCAAATGGTATTTCTAGTTCTACATCCCTGAGGAATTGCCACACTGACTTCCACAATGGTTGAACTAGTTTATAGTCCCACCAACAGTGTAAAAGTGTCCTGTTTCTCCACATCCTCTCCAGCACCTGTTGTTTCCTGACTTTTTAATGATCGCCATTCTAACTGGTGTGAGATGGTATCTCATTGTGGTTTTGATTTGCATTTCTCTGATGGCCAGTCATGATGAGCATTTTTTCATGTGTTTTTTGGCTGCATAAATGTCTTCTTTTGAGAAGTGTCTGTTCATATCCTTCACCCACTTTTTGATGGGGTTGTTTGTTTTTTTCTTGTAAATTTGTTTGAGTTCATTGTAGATTCTAGATATTAGCCCTTTGTCAGATGAGTAGGCTGCAAAAATTTTCTCCCATTTTGTAGGTTGCCTGTTCACTCTGATGGTAGTTTCTTTTGCTGTGCAGAAGCTCTTTAGTTTAATTAGATCCCGTTTGTCAATTTTGGCTTTTGTTGCCATTGCTTTTGGTGTTTTAGACATGAAGTCCTTGTCCATGCCTATGCTTGAGATCTCAGAATGGGCAGACTGCCTCCTCAAGTGGGTCCCTGACCCCTGAGTAGCCTAATTGGGAGGCAACCCCCCAGTAGGGGCAGACTGAAACCTCACACAGCCAGGTACTCCTCTGAGACAAAACTTCCAGAGGAACGATCAGGCAGCAGCATTTGCGGTTCAACAATATCTGCTGTTCTGCAGCCACCGCTGCTGATACCCAGGCAAACAGGGTCTGGAGTGGACCTCCAGGAAACTCCAACAGACCTGCAGCTGAGGGTCCTGACTGTTAGAAGGAAAACTAACAAACAGAAAGGACATCCACACCAAAAACCCATCTGTACGTCACCATCATCAAAGACCAAAGGTAGATAAAACCACAAAGATGGGGAGAAAACAGAGCAGAAAAACCGGAAACTCTAAAAATCAGAGTGCCTCTCCTCCTCCAAAGGAACGCAGCTCCTCACCAGCAACGGAACAAAACTGGACAGAGAATGACTTTGATGAGTTGAGAGAGGAAGGCTTCAGAAGATCAAACTACTCCGAGCTAAAGGAGGAAGTTCGAACCAATGGCAAAGAAGTTAAAAACTTTGAAAAAAAATTAGATGAATGGATAACTAGAATAACCAATGCAGGGAAGTCCTTAAAGGACCTGATGGAGCTGAAAACCATGGCACGAGAGCTATGTGACGAATGCACGAGCCTCAGTAACCGATTCGATCAACTGGAAGAAAGGGTATCAGCGATGGAAGACGAAATGAATAAAATGAAGCGTGAAGAGAAGTTTAGAGAAAAAAGAATAAAAAGAAATGAACAAAGCCTCCAAGAAATATGGGACTATGTGAGAAGACCAAACCTACGTGTAATTGGTGTACCTGAAAGTGACGGGGAGAATGGAACCAAGTTGGAAAACACTCTGCAGGATATTATCCAGGAGAACTTCCCCAATCTAGCAAGGCAGACCAACATTCAAATTCAGGAAATACAGAGAAAACCACAAAGATACTCCTCGAGAAGAGCAACTCCAAGACACATAATTGTCAGATTTACCACAGTGGAAATGAAGGAAAAAATGTTAAGGGCAGCCAGAGAGAAAGGTCGGGTTACCCACAAAGGGAAGCCCATCAGACTAACAGCTGATCTCTCGGCAGAAACCCTACAAGCCAGAAGAGAGTGGGGGCCAATATTCAACATTCTTAAAGAAAAGAATTTTCAACCCAGAATTTCATATCCAGCCAAACTAAGCTTCATAAGTGAAGGAGAAATAAACTCCTTTACAGACAAGCAAATGCTGAGAGATTTTGTCACCACCAGACCTGCCCTAAAAGAGCTCCTGAAGGAAGCACTAAACATGGAAAGGAACAACCGGTACCAGCCACTGCAAAAACATGCCAAATTGTAAAGACCATCGAGGCTAGGAAGAAACTGCATCAACTAACGAGCAAGATCTTAACTCTTAAGGCTTTATAGTATGTCTTGAAATCAGGTTGTGCCAGTCTTTCAACTTTGTTTTTTGTTTTTTCTCTTTCCCAAGATCGTTTTAGCTCTCTTAGATCCTTTGTGTTTACATATAGATTTTAGAATTAGTAGCTTGTCAGTTCTACAAAAAGCTGCTTGGATTTGAATTGCAATAGCAATGAATCTGAAGATCAATTTGAGAAAAATTGACGTTCTTAACAATATTGATTCTCCCATTGCATAAAGCTAGTAGGCTGGGCGCAGTGGCTCACGTCTGTAATCCCAGCACTTTGGGAGGCTGAGGCAGGTGATCACTTGAGTTCAGGAGTTTGAGGCCAGCCTGGTCAACATAGTGAAACCCCATCTGTACTAAAAATATAAAAATTAGCCAGGCATGGTGGTGGGCACCTGTAATCCCAGCTACTTGGGAGGCTGAGGCAGGAGAATCACTTGAACCCAGGAGGCGGAGTTTGCAGTGAGCCGAGATCACGCCACTGCACTCCAGCCTGGGAGACACAGCAAGACTCTGTCAAAAAAAACCCAAAAAAAGTGTGTGTGTGTATATATATATATATATATATATATATATATATGACTTTTTAATTTTTCTCAAATGACATTTTATAGTTTTCAGAGTAGAGGTTTTATACATTTTCACCTACTTTCTGTTTTTCAAGGCTACTTTAAATGATTTATTGTTTTTAAATTTTGTTTCCTACTGTTTCTTACAAGTATATCGAAATGCAATGATTTTTATATATTGACCTGTGTTCCGACAAAATTTATTCATTAATTCTAGTGGGCTCTTGGGAAGACATTTTAGTATTTCTTATGTGCACAATTATATCTTCCTTTTCTTGTATGGCTTTTTTTTTTCTTGCCTGTTAAACTGGCTGGGACCTCTAGTACAATGTGTATAGATGTGTAAGAGCAGATATCCTTCCTTTTTTCCCAGTCTCGGGAAGAAAGCATTTAATATTTCACCATTAAATATTTCACCATTAAATATTATGCTAGATGTAGGTTTTCCCATAAAGTGTCTTTATCAGGTTGAGGAAGTTTTCTTTTGTAGTGCCACTAAATTAACTTTTCTTAAATATTCTTAGTTGCTAATAATTTGTCTCATAATGAAATGAAATTGACAACATGAAATTGTTTTCTGCTCTTGAGCGGTCACTAAATCAGTAGATTGTGATATGTTTCACTTCAGAGGGTTTATTTGATTCTTGGCACTTAGACCAAGTTGCTTTAATACTACAGTTGATAGTACATTTAAAGTGCATTGGTACTGTATTTTGCAGCATTTGGCATTTTTTAGATGATAAGTAATTAAATAATCATTGTCAATTGCTAGATAGGACTTTTCAAAGCACTAGTGAAATACTCAGTTTAGTTTAGGGAGATTTATAGATGACTAATACTGCCCTTCATTTGAATATATTAGGAGGTTAATTCCCCCTCCCACAATTGGGAAATGCATTTTCTAGCTTTTTCTTGTGAAGTTTGTGTATTCTGAGCTTCACATAGACTGGGTGTTAGTGTTTTTCAGTCCTTTGATAGACTCTTTTAGCTATTTTATGTGCTTTATATTAAAATTATGTTAAACACTTATTTGTTCGACACCTATTCTGTGTCTAGCACCGCAGTGTAGGCACTTGAAATGCAATGGCAAAGAAAGCAGATGTTGCTCTCCTCATGGGACTTGTAATCTAGTCAAGAAGACAAAGGTGAATGAAGTAAATAATTATAAACTATAATATGTGTAGAATCTGGTCTGGTTCCCTGTGAGAACTCAAGGAAGATTTCCCAGAGGAAGTGGTGTTAAAACTGAGACCTAAAGATTGCATCTGAATTAAATAAAAAGAAGTGTGATGGCCTAGTAAGCAGTTATAAATATCCTGAGGCCGTAGGGAACATAGCAAATATATTTGTGACTGGTGGGTGAGGGATATGAGTTGGTGGGGAGGTAGAGGTAGTTTAGCTAATCCTAAACAACATAGAAGAGAAGTGAGACTGGATGGATGCATAGAGACCAGTTTTTGTAGCACCTATTAAGATCTTATCATAAGGGCAATGTAAAACCAGTGAAGTATTTTAAAACAGAAGCAACGCGATCTGGTTTGCATTGTGGAAAAAAATATTTTGTCTCTTTTGTGAATAATGGATTGAAGAGAGACTACAAACAACTCAAGGCCACATTGGAAGCCACTACAGGTGTCTAAGCACAAGATGATGCTGGTTTGCTAGGGTAATGATAGTGAAGATGGAGAAAAGTTACCAGGTAGGAGAAGTAGTTGAGGAAATAGGTAAATTCTGAATGCGTAAGCCTTTTGGTACATTTTTAAATTTATTGAAGGACAACAGGTTTACTTTAGTCTCTATTTGTTTATTTTTTTATTTTTATTTTTTGAGACAGTCTCACTCTGTTGCTCAGGCTGGAGTGCACGGTGGCGTGATCTCTGCTCACTGTAAGCAATTCTCATGCCTCAGCCTCCTGAGTAGCTGGGATTACAGGCGTGCACCACCATGCCTGGCTAATTTTTTGTATTTTTAGTAGAGGCAGGGCTTCACCATATTGGCCAGGCTGGTCTTGAACTCCTGACCTCAAGTTGATCTGCCCGCCTGGGCCTTCCAAAGTCCTGGGATTACAGGTGTGAGCTACCCTGACTGGTCTCTATTTGTTTACCTTCTTTGATACTATATTGCTTGTATAGTTCTCTTTGATAGGCATTGCCTACTGTTTATCCTATTTGCCATTGATGGCTAATGGTCCTTTCTGGCTTTGCTGTTTAAGTTCTATTGAGGAGTAGTTTGAATTGACTGGATGTTTTAATAATGAAATATTGATAAATATAAAAGAATAAAAGTATTATATATATATATAAAGAATAAAACATATCCAATATATAAATAAAAAATTAAATGCCTGTGATGTATCATGTAATAAAGTTATACAGTTTGGGCTGTTTCAAGTAATTCCATATAATGATTCCTCCTAGATATTTTCTGATTAGCATTCATCAGTTGAAAGCAGAAGGAGGCAGCTGATGATTGTAAAAAAAAATGGCAATAATAAGATACCTAATGACCCCGAAAATGAAGCGAATTATGCCTAATTTAAAAACAAAGAATGCTTTATATAGGAAACTATGTAAATATATATTAGTACTCTTTTGTCAGTAAGGCTTCACATTATAAATGTGTTCATATTATAATCCTATCGGAAAAAAGTATGGTAAGAAAGAAAAGTAAGGAAGCTAGCACAGTCAGCCAGGTGTGGTGTCTCACGTCTGTAATCCCAGCACTTTGGGAGGCTGAGGGGGGTGGATTACTTGAAGTCAGGAGTTTGAGACCAGCCTGACCAACATGGTGAAACCCTGTCTCTACTAAAAATACAAAATTAGTCAGGCGTGGTGGTGCATGCCTGTAATCCCAGCCACTTGGGAGGCTGAAGCAGGAGAATTGCTTGAACCTGGGAGGTGAAGGTTGCAGTGAGCCGAGATCATGCTATTGCACTCCTGCCTGGTCAACAAGATCGAAACTCTGTCTCAAAACAAACAAACAAACAAACAAATAAAAAACGAACAAAAAAATGAAGTAGCTAGTACAGTCAGTTGCTAAAAAGAAAAAACTACTTTGAGCTGCTGAAGCTTTTTTTTTTTTTTTAAAGTTGGTGGAAAGAAAGAGGGAGGCTTAGTGGGTCAAAGGCACTGCTTCTGAAACTCTTCATCTCATGTTTTCATCTCCCTTTAGAAGCATGTGCAATTATCAATTATTTATAGTATTTGTAGATTCAAATAGCTACCAGTGATTATTTTTGGAAACAAACTAAAGGGATTTAGTATGTGAAATTTTCTGAATGATATTTTTTGCCATTTTCCTAATTTTATAAATATTATGATTCAAAACTGCTTCAAATATGTGTAATGGCTATACTTTTTCAATGGTTTGGTAGTAAAGCTTAGCATTTAACTTTTCTTTACAAGGAATGTGGGACCTATCTACATTCACGAATATTTATCAAATATAATTTTATTTTAAATATTTATTTTTCTTGTACTAGAGAATATCTGATTTTGTTTGATTTTAATACTATTATCTCTGAAAGTCAAAATATTTCCCTATAAAATAGGACTTTCTAGCCTTTTGTATAAAATTTAAATATTGCCTTTTCATCCTTAAACATAGTATTCACTTGAAAATCGTTATTCTAATGTATCTTACAAACGTCTCATTTCTGGTAATGAGAAATACACTTTCTGTTCTATATTCACCTAAACCTCCAAAGATTTTGGCAGTAACATGGTTTTCTCTGAAAGGAAGTTCAACATGGAGGAAAGAATAGGACCTTCTACTCTTTAGGAATAATTTTTTTCCAACTTTTATTTTAGAATCAGGGAGTAGAAATCATTTTTACAATTAATAATACATAATAGTTATATATGGGGTACATGTGATATTTTGATACATGCATACAATGTGTAATGATCAAATCAGGGAAATTGGGACATCTGTCATCTCAAATGTTTATGACTTATTGTATTGGTAACATTCTAACTTCTCTTCCAGTTATTTTGTAATATACAATAAATTGTTAACTATAATCTCCCCACTACAACCACTAGAACGTATTCCTTCTATTTGACTGCATTTTTGTAACCATTATCCAACTTCTTTTCATTCCTTTTTCCCTACCCTTCCCAGCCTCTGGCAACTGCCATTTTACTCACTACTTCAATAAGATCAACTTTTTTATCTCCCACATATGAGTGAGAGTATGCAACATTTGTCTTTCTGTGCCTGGTTTATTTCACTGAACATAATGTCCTCCAGTTCCAATCATGTTGCTGCAAATGTAAGAATTTCATTCTTTTTTATAGTTGAATAATATTTTATTGTATATACATATTGCTTTTTTTCCCCACCTGTTCATGTCTTGATGGACACTTAGGTTGATTCCGTATCTTGGTTATTGTGAATAGTGTTGTAATAACATGGTAGTGCATTTATCTGTTTGATATTGCTGATTTCCTTTCTTTTGGATATATACCCAGCAGTGGGATTGCTGGATCATATGATAGTTCTATTTTTAAATTTTTGAGGAACTTCCATACTGTTTTCCATAATGGCTATTTTAGTTTTACATTCCCCCAATAGTGTATGAGTGTTCTGTTTTCTCTGCATCCTCACCAGCGTTTGTTACTTTTTGTCTTTTTGGTAATAGCCATATTAACTAGGTGAGATTATATCTCATTATAGTTTTATAGTTTTGATTTGCATTTGCCAGAGGCAAAATGAGTAATTTTTCATATAACTCTTGGCAATTTCTATGTCCTCCTGTGAGAAATGTCTATTCAGATCTTTTGCTGACTTTTTAATAGTTTTTTTCTGATTATTAATCACTTGTCAGATGGATAGTTTGCAAATATTTTCCCATTTTTTAGGTTGCCTGTTCACCGTGTTGATTATTTTCTTTGCTGTGCAGAAGCTTTTTAGCTTAATATCATCCTGTTTGTCTATTTTTGTTTTGTTGCCTGTGCTTTTGAGGTCTTACTCAAGTAGTCTTTGCCAAAACCAATGTCCTGAAGCATTTCCCAGTGTTTTCTTGTATTAGCTGCATAGTTTCAGGTCTTACCTTTAAGTTTTTAATCAACTTTGACTTGATTTTTGTATATGGTGAGAGATAGGAGTCTAGTTTTATTTTTCTGCATATGGATATCCAGTTTTTCCAGCAGCATTGATGGAAGACACTGTCTTTTCAACAGTGTATTTTCTTGGTGCCTTTCCTGAATTTAGGTTGACTATAAATGTGTAGATTTATTTCTGGTTTCTCTGTTCTATTCCATTGGTCTATGTGTTTTTATGCCAATATCATGCTGTTTTGGTTACTATAACTTTGTAGTGTATTTGGAGTCAGGTAGAGTGATGCCTCTAGCTTTGTTCTTTTTTCTTAGGATTGCCTTAGCTATTCAGGGTCTTTTGTAGTTCCATACAAATTTTAGGTTTTTTTTTTCTATTTATTTGAATGTCATTGGTATTTTGAAAGGGATTACATTAAATCTGTATGTTGCTTTGGGTGATATTGTCCTTTTAACAATATTAATTCTTCCAATCCATGAACATGGCATATCTTTTTAATGTGTTGTTTGGTTTGCTAGTATTTTGTTAAGGATTTTTGCATCTATGTTTCTCAGGGATATTGGCCTCCTATAATTTTTTTTGTTGTATGTGTCCATGTCTGCTTTTGGTATCAAGATAGTGCTGGCCTCACAGAATGAGTTTGGAAGTATTCTCTCCTCTTAACTTTTTAAGAATAGTTTGAGTGGAGTTGGTATTAGTTCTTCTTTAAGTGTTTGGTAGAATTCAGCAGTGAAGCCATCAAGTTCTGGGCATGTCTTTGATGGGAGACTTTTTATTATTGCTTCAATCTCTTTACTCATTATTAGTCTGTTCAGATTTTCTATTTCTTCATGGTTCAATCTTGGTAGATTGTATGTGTCCAGGAATTTAGCCATTTTTTCTAGGTTTTCCAGTTTGTTGGCATATATATTTTTCACAAGTCTCCAATGATCCTTTGTATTTCTGTGGAGTCAATTGTAATGTCTTTTCATCTTTGATTTTATTTATTTGAGTCTTCTTTCTTTTTTGCTTAGTCTAGCTAAGGGTTTGTTGATTTTGTTTATCTTTTCAAAAAATCAAGTTTTTGTTTTGTTGATCTTTTTATGTTTTTTAGGACTTTTAAGAATAATAATAACCTATTTCGGTCCCATTTTCACAAGTCTGTGATTATAGGCAAGTTATACTTACTATCTCTACTATCTGCTTTCTTCATTTGGAAAATGATAATGATGATACCTACTTCATAGAGTTTTAAGATTTTTATAAAGGAAAAGTATATAATGCACACAGCACAATGCTTGGCATATAGAAAATACTCAACAAATGTTAGTTATCTTCCATTTTTATCTTAATTTTCCTGGTGTATTTTAATTCTGACATAATTTGTAAATTAGTTCTAAGTCACTTTTAAGAAAAATGCTGATCCCCTAAGAAGTTTAAAATAGTGAATGTTTGTCTGTAGTAAGTCAAAATAATCAGAAATGTTTTAATGTCCATCAAATATTTGATTAAATTAATTTGCATTGTTCTAATTTAGGTATGTGTAGCTCAAGCACTTAGAACAAATTTCTTTGACCATTTGACCTTTTTTTTCATATTAGGATAAAAAGTGGATAAGCAATGTTTTTATTTATTCTAATTTCTATGCTCTTTTGAGATCATATTTGACCTTCAGTATTGCTCTGAATAGATTTTGGTACAGTAGTGTTAGTTCTATTGCTTTGTTTGTACAGTTAAATACATCAAACTCAGCAATTTTTTGTGGGGGTGATGGGGATTGGAGAGATTAGTAAATGATTTCTAAGTTCTGTTAATTAAAATGTAACTATATATTTTAGAGAGAAGTTAGTAGTCATATCACTTTAGTTCATGAAGACTTGGCAAATTTTTAATAATTAATAAGTTTTTTCTGCCAATGAGCATTAGATTACTGCTGACTTTTTAGTGTCATAGTACCTTGTGGTAGTTTCTTTACAGGGTTTACAGGAGTATGGCAGTTTATTTTTTCTGTCTTGTCCATACGAAATAATCTTTACAAATGCTATAAGGAGAATACCTTGAGAAGTTCATAAATGCCTTAATATATTATAAAGATCGGTCAGTTCCATTGTCTTCTTTTGTCAGTCTTGATCGGAGCTTGCCGAGTAAGTCTATAAGCCTGCATGTGCCTGGCAACTGTTACCTAGTGACAGTTTCAGCTGCAGTAGCCATTGGCTGTGCTGTTGATTGGGGCAGGAGGGCCGAGTCACCTTTCTGATGGTGAGTTTTTCTGCATCAGCCCAGGATGAGGAGGAGGAGTAGGGCTTGGGCTCAGGTGGAGTCATTGATGCTGAGAGATTGTGAAGAATATACTGACAGCATCCTTGTAGCTGCATCACAGTAAATCGGACTTCTGAATCAAGCAGCCCAGCCTAGCAGCTGATAAGAGTGAATGTAGGTGAGAAGCATTACCTTATTCCTGTAACAAGAGAACTGTTTTGTGATAAGTGAAACTAGGAATGTAGAAGAAGAAATATCCTATGGCTATTATAAAAGAAGAAGGACTTGCCTGAATGACTTGGTGGTGCACCAGAAAATAACTTTCAGAAGAATGCTTTCTGTTAAGCTGCTGCATTGTTCCTGGAGGAAATGTTATTTCTAATGCATGTTATTTCTTCAAAAGATAGGATAACAAAGAATGACAGGAGACTCTCTGAAATGACTTCACTTTTAAAAAATACTTTGGCAAATGTTAACCTGATATCAAAATGACCTTGGAAGCATTTTGGATGGATTCTATCCTGGCAGCCTTGCAATGTTTCAAACTCTAGGATTTAAAGTTCATCTTGATACTTTAGAGGTATTTTAAAATAAGACTATCTTGCAACCTACCTAATGGCCCCTGTGTTAATTGAGCACTTGCTCAAAATAGAGTACAGAAAAATAGAAGAGGCATTTTTTAACATATGGCTGCTACATAACTGCAAATGTAATAAACAAGGTAATTTTCCACTTTCAGAAGATATAGTTGAAGTAATGATTTAATGTGTTAAATCATCTACTGAAAATAGAAAAGGTATAGCAACATAGAACATGAAGCCTATTAGAAATACCTAAGTAATAAATAATGGCAGCATTTCTGGTCAAATAAGCTCGGAGTATATTGGAAAGTTTTATTGTCTAACTTTATATTTACATATATATGTGAGATATGGGTATACAGTTGCAAAGGTGAGAAATAACTGTGAGCTACATATTTTATTATCATGCTCCATTATAAGGAAGGTGGTATATGAAATAACAAATGTTATTTTAAGTTATAGATGCCAAATTAATAGCAAAAATAATTCATTTTGAAAAGGAAGAGGTATAAGTTACGTTGCTGTTAGTACCACCAGTAACTGTAATGGATTAAAACTGCTTTCATCTAAATGCTTTAAAAATGCATGCAGAATTAAAACTTCAGAAGTTTATTACATTTTGCCAGGTGTTAATTCATTAATTCATTGTATATTCTCTTTTCTATTGGAAAATACTTTTTTCTCATGAGAGTTATAGGGCAATCTGGAGTCTGTTTGTTACCTCTATTCTGCCCATGTAGAGATGAATCTTTTCAAATTAACTTTGATAGAGTTGTTTTTCTTAGATTTTAGAAAAATGAGAAATAGGTTATAAATTTGACCCCCCAACATCAATCCCTGAACTAAGCCCAAAGACACTCTTTGCCACAATGAACTTTTTCTTAGCTTTTCAACCAAATTTGAGATCTTAAATTATTTAAAATCTAAAATATGAATGCATTTTTCATCATAGATAAAGCAGGAAGCCTGAGACAGTTTCAGAGTTTTTCTTTTCTCATTCTTTCCAGTTGCTCCCTAAGAAACTGCCTCTCTTAGGAGAACAGCCCACAGAAGCTTTTCTTCCTTTGGCAATTCATTTTTTTTCTTTTTACAGATTTAATTTTTCATAGTGCAAGATAATAAGAAGTCTATTTTCTCTAGAAGTGCCTTATGTCTGCAAAAAGTTCTTTGAGGGCACCAGAGGAAACTAATTAGTGACCTCTTTTCACCTCCTTTCTAGCTTATCCCCTTCTCTCCACCCCTTACCGCCCCCCCCCCACCCCCCCGCCCGAAAGCTGAGGTGTGTCACTGCTGAACTGAGGCTGGTGAAGAGACTTGAGCACTCTCTGGGACTCTCAGCTGTGACAGAAGCACTGACACTGTCTACTGAAGCAGGTTCTGAAACACTCATGTGCGGTGTTTAACAGATGCTGGGCAGGGCATCTGCTTGCTGTAGCCAAGTCTGCAGGTGTCTTTAAATTTCCAAGCCATGAATGAATCCAGGTGGACTGAATGGAGGATCCTGAACATGAGCAGTGGCATTGTGAATGTGTCCGAGCGTCACTCCTGCCCACTTGGATTTGGCCACTACAGTGTGGTGGATGTCTGCATCTTCGAGACAGTGGTTATTGTGTTGCTGACATTTCTGATCATTGCTGGGAATCTAACAGTTATCTTTGTCTTTCATTGTGCTCCACTGTTACATCATTATACTACCAGCTATTTCATTCAGACGATGGCATATGCTGATCTTTTCGTTGGAGTTAGCTGCTTGGTTCCTACTCTGTCACTTCTCCACTACTCCACAGGTGTCCACGAGTCATTGACTTGCCAGGTTTTTGGATATATCATCTCAGTTCTAAAAAGTGTTTCTATGGCATGTCTTGCTTGCATCAGTGTGGATCGTTATCTTGCAATAACCAAGCCTCTTTCCTACAATCAACTGGTCACCCCTTGTCGCTTGAGAATTTGCATTATTTTGATCTGGATCTACTCCTGCCTAATTTTCTTGCCTTCCTTTTTTGGCTGGGGGAAACCTGGTTACCATGGTGACATTTTTGAATGGTGTGCCACGTCTTGGCTCACCAGTGCCTATTTTACTGGCTTTATTGTTTGTTTACTTTATGCTCCTGCTGCCTTTGTTGTCTGCTTCACTTACTTCCACATTTTCAAAATTTGCCGTCAGCACACCAAAGAGATAAATGACCGAAGAGCCCGATTCCCTAGTCATGAGGTAGATTCTTCCAGAGAGACTGGACACAGCCCTGACCGTCGCTACGCCATGGTTTTGTTTAGGATAACCAGTGTATTTTATATGCTGTGGCTCCCCTATATAATTTACTTTCTTCTAGAAAGCTCCCGGGTCTTGGACAATCCAACTCTGTCCTTCTTAACAACCTGGCTTGCAATAAGTAATAGTTTTTGTAACTGTGTAATATACAGCCTCTCCAACAGCGTTTTCCGGCTAGGCCTCCGAAGACTGTCTGAGACAATGTGCACATCCTGTATGTGTGTGAAGGATCAGGAAGCACAAGAACCCAAACCTAGGAAACGGGCTAATTCTTGCTCCATTTGAAGAGAGCTACATAGTAAATCAAATGTAATCTGACAGTGGTTTTGGATCATATTCTAGATTCATCTGGAAATTTGCCATCAGAGAAATATTTACTTGAATAGTTGACTGTAAAATGAAGTATGAGACTAAAGGTTTCTCTCTTTTTTTTTCTTTTTCATGGAAGAAACTAAAGGGAAGGATGTATAGAGGGTTAGCTCATGAAATAATTATAGCATGTGAGTATTAGTGTGCAGTAATAGGAAAAATTAAGCACTGAGATGAAAAAGAATATCTCAAATCTTCTGCAGGACATGAGCAAGCCCCTTGGCTCAGCATTTCTGTCTTTCTGTCTGACTGTACCCTGCCTCTGTCTTTCTCATTTTGTCTATGTTTCTCTCACTCTTTGTGGAAGTTATTACTTACATAAACTGCCCTTTGTAGAAAAGTGCTACATATTATATATGTGGTAAAGTATAATCTTTTGCATCAAAGTGTACCTTTAATCACACTAATCTATAATCCATAAGTGATCTCTTCATGGAGGATGCACAGTAAGCATTGCATTTTATTATTTGCCAAACAACCCCTTTGCTTGTGTTTTTATAATGTTCTCTGCAGCACAGTTTTTCTGCTATAAACAAATAGAAACAGTATTTTTGTTTCTTCTGGGTAAAATGACATTTGCTTTTCCCTGGTTTCCTAACAGTCTCCTGTTTTTTTTCTCTCTTTTTCTTGATCTGCATCCATTGGTACCTTACTTTAGAAGTGTCTTAGCTATTGAAAGAATCTACTGTATAGAGCATCCATGATGTTAAATAATGTATTTCTTCCAGCAAAGCAATCTGGTAGCTTATTAAATATTTTTAATGGCTTTTGGAAACATTTTTATCTGGTTCCTTTTAAATTAGTTCATGTGCTTAAAAGTGATGTCTTTTTTTTGCTATAGTAAAGCTTTGTTTTTCTTTAAGAAAACCCACTAGTAATTGTAATGCAGATGCAGGATACTCACCCAGCAGTGAGGTATTACTCTTAAGGGTACTTAGAATGCCCTTTTTAAAAATAAATAAATAAAATAAAACATGAATCTTTTTTGTGTTAGGTCTACGATAGCTTACTGTTGTGTCCACTAGTCAGTCATTTGTGTGATATGCGTTTGCACATACTATGTTTTTCACAGCAAAGAAAATGTAAATTATGTTATCTGTGCCTAACGTTTTCTTAGCAAAATATATAGATCAATGTTGTTTAAGTTGTCAACATTGGAAAAAGTATATACAAAAACCTATTTTAAGAGAAAAATACTTTTGTGTAATTGTTATTTAGATATTTATATTAGACAAAGCTGCATTTTTAGTGCCGCTGAGAATATAATATACTTAATTATCAAATACAGGTAAGAGCTGACAGTATTTTCTTTTGTAATGATCTGTTTTCAAATGCAGAGATTAACTTATTTTTTTGCCTGCTACATGGGGTTGTGTGATAAATTGTCAGGGGTTTAGATGTAGCAAAGTAGCATTTGGGGAATTAGCGAAGCAAGTATGAGCAGTAAAACATCTAAGTATTACTTTTTTACCATAAGTTTCTTGCCTGAAAGATATTTTAAAATTTATATCAAACTACTGAGTATTTTTCTTCTCAGCATTTTTGATTTCTTTGTTTTATGAAATGCATTTAATAAAATGTGCCTATGACTCTTCAAATTAGAAGCCAACCATGTTTGCACCCTGGTGGTTTGGCTTCAAAGGTCTTTTAGTAGAAATGTTGTCATTTTATTGAGGTTGTTCTGAACCCCTGTATATTTTTAAACATGTAAGAAAGATTTAAAATAAAGAATAAAATAATATTCTATATATCAAAATGAGACTTTGCCTCAGTTTAATAAAACACTTAGGACAAGAGTTTACTTTTTTGGGAATCAAAATCTGATTGTTTTATACTTCTGTAGCTTGGGTTTATATTTATTCTTGTCCCCTGTTTGCCAGTGGCATCTTGGTTTAAATGTGCCTTTTAAATTCAGACCAGTTCAAGGAAAACAAAGTTCAAGGAAGTGTACTGCTAACATTTCAGATATCACATATAAGACTTCTAAATTATACATATTATTTGGGAATCGTATTTTTATTTCTTTAAGGTATAAATATAGTTAGAAAGGACCCAGTGGATTCTGTGTACAGAAAGCCTGAGGCCATGCTTACTGCATTTTCCCCTTCTGGCTTTTCCCCATAGTAATTAATAACAATTATATGCCAGGCTCACTGTTCACTTTTACATGTGTTATACCTTAAATCCTCACTACAGCCTTTTGAGATAATAGTTATTATTTCCACTCCAGAGATAAGGAAACGAAAGAAAAATGATTATTCGTCAGTTAACTAGTCAATGGCAGAGGTTCCCGCCCATCCAGTAGGCCTGGGCCAAAGCCTGCCTGCTTCACCGGTAGGCTGCGCTGCTTTCATTTCAAAAGCCTTTAAATTTTTGTACCTCTGTCTGTACCTTTTCCCTACAATATTTCTCTGAGTTTTATTTATTTTTTTCTCATCGTAAGTCTTTTGCTTGAGTTCTTTTCTTGTCTTGTGATATCTTTTTCTTTGATCTTAAAAGTTTCTTTTATTAAAACAGCAATCTGATAAGCTCAAACTTACCAGTTTAGTCTATAATCAAACTGAAATTGTTGATATTACTTTGGTTTACTTTTGTTATTTCCCTTGAATACCTTTTTGAAATCTCTATCAATTTCTTTTTGGAAAAAAATTGTTTTGAAGAGGAAGAGTGAAAAGAAAGGCTTTATCATAGGCTGAAAGAGGCTGAATGAGGCAAATTCTGAGTTTATTTATTTACTATAGTATTTTATATACAACTCTAGGACAAACCACTTAACTTCCTTTTATCATATTTTAATGTGTTTGTATAATAAGCTAATCCTTATTTTGAAACCTCTCTTTTTAGGTAATGTGTTTTAAGAATAGGAAGCATAACCATTTTTCTCATCATTATATTGTATTTTGTGGTAATTATCCAGTTTGGCTATAAAAGACAGCCAAAAAACAATGCATTCTGTATTCTTTTTCCTAAGGGTTCTATTATTTGCATAGTTGTTTCTAGAGTTATAGAGTGTTGGAAAGCTTCATAATTGACACTATTAGTATATGAAACTTGGGCTGAGATCCAGGCCCTCATAAACTGCTTGGCCTTGGGTAAGATACCAAATGCTCCAAAACCTTAGTTTTGGCATTGATTAAAAAATCTTAAGTCAGAGACTTGTAGCTCTCTGTTTAGCTGAATTTGAGGACTAAATGAAATTTTGTAGTCTGTGTGCCCAGCATAGCTCCTGGCACATAAAAAGTGTTCAGAATATGGTAGCTGCTGTTTTTGTTTTGTTTTTTGTTTGTTTGTTTGTTTTGAAGTGGAGTCTTGCTCTGTTGCCCAGGCTGGAGTGCAGTGGCACTATCTCGGCTCACTGCAAGCTCCACATCCTGGGTTCATGTCATTCTCCTGCCTCAGCCTCCCAAGTAGCTGGGACTACAGGCAGCTGCCACCACGCCCAGCTAATTTTTTGTATTTTTAGTAGAGCCGGGGTTTCGCGGCGTTAGTCAGGATGGTCTTGATCTCCTGACCTCGTGATCTGCCTGCCTTGGCCTCCTGAAGTGCTGGGATTACAGGTGTGAGCCACTGCACCCAGCCGGTAGCTGCTGTTTTGTTATCTTTGTGGGTGCCATATTTATTAACATCACAACTTAAAGGTCACTAATCCCAATTCAAACAGGAATAAACCATTGAGCATTAGGGTTTTCTAAGATAGCATTTCTTTTTGCAAATCTATTTAAATTCAAATTTTGGGGTTAAACTCAGATATTTCAAGTATATTTCTGAAAGCTCGTTTCCCAGGAATAGTTATTCATGAAGACATCGTTTGAGATTAAAGATATCCAGCAAGCGGATGTTGTGATGAGACAGGCATGATTCTGAGGTTAACCTACCTCTTACTTTATTACACTAAATATGCTTAAACATTTTATTCTCGTTAGGGAAGTAATAATAGGAAGGATTGTCCAGGGATGTCTTGTCATTTGTCTTTGCACTTTAATTTTCCTCATTTATTAAAATGGGATTTGAAGTATTTTGTCATATATCTATTTCTTGGGAGAAACAATGATTAATAAGCTGATTTGCTCCATAGATAACATAAATTATGTGAATTTAAAGATAAATGAAGTTGCCTTAAAGGACCTTTCCTCTTTTTCTCCCCACGCTAGAAGGTAATCATTAGATGTGAAAAAGATACAATTACATAATAAGTAGATAAAAAAGATTTAGATGTGAGAAATCTGCTGGTATAACATTCTGAGCATAGATAGCATCATGTATGTGTAGGTAGGGCCATTTTGGTGCATAGGAGCATGTATGTGTTACTCAGTCAGTGCTGTACTCTGACGTGTAGGTTCCAAAAGATGCTCTTTTCCTTGAGCAGAAATTAACTTTATTTTAGATTGAGTGATATGTAGAAAGTGGTAATCCTGTAACCAAATACATAGATATTGAGGAAAACAAAATTGCTAGAGTAGAGAAAACAGTTCCTATTTTATGATTTCTCATAAATGGAAGTTTGATTCAGTGCTAGTCTTGCTCTGTATTTTAAAATATTCATAACTTTTTTCAATAGTAAAAGTGTTTTTTTAAAATATTAACATGATGTCATTAAGGTTTTTCTTCATGACTATTTTGTTTTAATTTTTTACAATGAGCATTGGTAAAAATTTCTTTTATAATCAGAAAAATTAATATTTGGTTAAAAAGAATGCTGAAGGCTGGGCGCGGTGGCTCACACCCGTAATCCCAGCACTTTGGGAGGCCGAGGCGGGCAGATCACGAAGTCAGGAGATCAAAGCCATCCCGGCCAAAATGGTGAAATCCCATCTCTACTAAAAATACAAAAATTAGCTGGGTATGGTGACATGCACCTGTAGTCCCAGCCACTCGGGAGGCTGAGGCAGGAGAATTGCTTGAACCCGGGAGGCGGAGGTTGCAGTGAGCCGAGATCGCACCACTGCACTCCAGCCTGGCAACAGAGTGAGGCTCCATTTCAAAAAAAAAGAAGAAGAATGCGGAATATTTAAAAAATATTTTAACATTTCACAAAACAGCTTATGTTGATAGTACAAATAACACTATCCAATAATGTCTCAATATTGTCTTATAAAGATAGGTTATATAGTTTTTCTGAGTTCTGTAATTTTTATTTCAGGTAGATTTTTACAATAAACTTGACAACCTTCTACTTGCAATAGTAGATGTTCTTGACTTATTTTTGCTTTAATGTAAACAGTTTGAGGTATTACTTGATGAATCTGAAATGGATCTCAATCACTGTAGGATTTTTTTTTTTTTTTTTTAGACAGAGTCTCGCTCTGTTGCCCAGGCTGGAGGGCAGTGGCGCTATCTCTGCTCACTGCAAGCTCGCCTCCCGGGTTCACGCCATTCTCCTGTCTCAGCCTCCCGAGTAGCTGAGACTACAGGCGCCCACCAGCACTCCCAGCTAATTTTTTGTGTTTTTAGTAGAGACTGGGTTCCACCTTGTTAGTCAGGATGGTCTCGATCTCCTGACCTCCTCGTGTTCTACCCGCCTCAGCCCTCCAAAGTGCTGGGATGACAGGCATGAGCGACCGCCCCGGCCCACTGTAGGATTTTTAAATGCATCATTCATGGCACCTTTCTGCATTTTTCACACCTTTAAACAACAAAAAGATGGCTCTGCGTTAGGAAATAGGCTCCAGCTGGTACATTACCTGCATTTCCTACATAGGCAGAATTCTCCAAAGAACATATTTATAATTTTTTAATGGTAACTTTTATTCTGCTTTTATATATGACTTTCTCCAAAGGTGAAGAAAATAACAGTAATAAATTTAGCAGGAGTCTGTTATGTCTGATAAATATTTAACATGAAAGGCACATATCACCACCTTCATTATAGTAAATGGAGCCAAATTAGTTTTTGAGATTCTAAAATTCTAAGGTTTAAGGTGATAAATATCAAGAAACGTAGTACATAATAGTAGAATTCATGAATGAAAATAATTTGCAAAAATTTGAAAACTTCCAAAAAGGATATTTTATACAAAAGAAATACCTATCATTGACTTAAACATTTGACCCCAGTTTTATTTTATTTTCTACTTAAGCAATTGTAAATAAGGTTGATGCCAGTTAAAAATGGCAAAATATATATTATAAATTCAATTATTTTAATTGCAAGGCACAAACAAGGTACAGAGTTGTATGACCTGTTCTTTAAATTTTTAAATTTATTTTTGAATAAAATGTGGACTGTAGCAAGAGATGTGCAGTAATTTTGTCTGAGATTATACATGACACAAAGAATGTTTATGTACATACTCTGTAAAGTATAGCTTTAAGATGTTTACTTATGTTCTTAATAGAGTTCTAAGTTTAATATAATTATTAGTAGATGGCGTATTTTTATAGAAATAACATCTTCACAATTATTCATTTACTTTTTCAGGAATTTTATAATTAAAAATGCTAAATTGGTAAGAAATTATTGGAAAACACTGCAAGTTGAAATTTGGAAACACTTATAACGCTTTTGAACATATATAATGCTCTTGACATTATAAACGAGGTCTATTCTAAAAGCTTCTGTGAGTAAACACTATCTCATTTCACATATAGGAATCTGAGATAAGATTTTTAAGTGACCCTAACAAGATCATGTCGTTTGACAAAGATACTACTGACGACGTGTCTTGTGTGACAATAATATTGCCTGTGATAAAGTTCTTGAATAATGTATTTATAGATGGCTGGTAATAGAGTGACCTGATATTTCTTTCTTGAGAAGAAAATGAAGACTTAGTTATTTGATATAGAAGAAATTCTATGTGAATTTTTTTCTTTTAATTTGTGACATAGGAAAAATTATTTTAAAATTAACTTTATGTTGGAGGTGTGATTTTTGAGATCATAGAAATTTTTAATCAGATGTATTATCAGGCTTGATCAGTGTTTTAATATTTCTTTTAACAGTTTTTTATCCATAGAGGGTAATAAAAAATTTACCTCTCCTTTTGAAAACACAGCAGTCATCTACTGAATATATTGAGATATGTAGAATAAATTGAAACAGTGTTTGCTGTGTATTCTAAACACTATAACCTTAATGATGAAGACATCAAAATCACGTTATATTCAAGTACCTACTTTTGGAAAGTACTAATTTTATAGTCATATACTTTATGTTTTGAATTTTTTTTTGTAATAGATTTGCAATGTTGTTGAGTCATCATCGGTTGGATTTTTCTCAGTCATTATGATGGACAAGATTTTGATGTTTCAGGCTATAGTGCTTTTGTATGTTTGTAATCTATAAATTATCAGTCAGGGAATCAGTGATTAGTTTGAATTAGTGATAAATAAAACCTTTTAAATAAGTAATTCAGTTTTATTTCAATGAAATAAATATAGTTACAGAAAAATTAAAGGAACTCAAATTAGGCAAACACAAAATTGCCTTGTAAGTGTCCTTAGAGGAAATCTTTCTTTAAGTCGTTTCTAGTGTCTGTATCAGTTGAATAAAAATGAGTTCCACTGAGTTATTTGAAAAGTTTATTCTCTTAAATATGTAAAATTTCCATAACAATTTATGCTACTTATTTAAACAGTTTGTAGGATGAATCATTGCAAAGTCCAAATTTGGATTTAATCTGAATTAACCAGATATTTTTGCATTTCAAATCTATAAATTAGGTCAATAAATATTTATTGACTATGCTATGTTAAGGGCATAAATTGTGGTTCTATAATAGTCCTGGACTCTTAAGAGTAACTCATTGAATTGTGTGAATCCAATAAGCAGGAAAATTAATTTCTAGAATTTGAGGGAGAGATTGCAGAAAAGTCATAGGAACTATGCAATACATTGTAGCGTTAGAGGGATTAACGCATTTTAGAATATGAATTGGCTTCAATATTTAGCCATGTGTTTGGATGCTATAGTTCTAAAGGATACCACAGGATATTTGAGAAGTTTTTGAAGTGAAAGGAGAGAAAATGTTCAATGTTCAGATTAGTACAAAAGTGTTGTGGGGAGAATACACAATAACTTTGGAATGCAGTGTAAGTAAAAGAAAATATTCTTTATGTGGATTATATCTGATTAGAGTAAAATCATCATTTTAGGTATAAATTATAAGCTTTGAGATTAGGACAATAATATTAACATGGGTAGAAGTAGCTTGAGGGATTGCACATAGGACATGTTCTACCAACTCAGGCATCATCTTTTTTTTTTTTTTTTTTTTTTGAGATGGAGTCTTGCTTTGTCACCCAGGCTGGAGAGTGATCACCAGTGTCACCCAGGCAGTGGAGTGATCTTGGCTCACTGCAATGTCCTCCTCCCAGGTTCAAGTGATTCTCCTGCCTCAGCCTCCCAAGTAGCTGGGACTACAGGTGTGTGCCACCACGCCTAGCTAATTTTTGTATTTGTAGTAGAGACAGGGTTTGACCATGTTGGCCAGGCTGGTCTCAAACTCCTGAACTCAAGTGATCCACCTGCCCTGGTCTTCCAGTGATGGGACTACAGGTGTGAGCCACCATGCCTGGCTTTAGGCATCTTCTTAGACCACTTTTTCTAGAGTTGTTTTCCTAATATTTGTCTTGTGATTACAAGTGAATGTCACTATATGCAGGTTATTATGACAGGCAGGTTTTAACTTCTCTGTCAATCAAGTTAATCATATGATGTAGGCCTAATATTTTGAATAATAGAATCACTCATTCTTTCATTTAAGTATTTATCAGGTTGCTATTGTGTGCCAGGGACTATTCTTAATTCTGTGTAAGATAAGGAGATTTCTAAGTAAAACAGATTTTCAGTTCTCCAAGAGCACTTAGACTACAAGGGGCTATATGGACTTTATATGGATAACTATAGGGCAAGATAGGAGCTGACAAATTACAGTCCGCTGACTATTGTAGATACAATTTTACTGGACCATAGCAGCACTCATTCATTTATATATTACCCATGGGTGCTTTTGTGCTACAATGGTAGAGAGTAGTTGTCATGGAAATGTTATGTTCTACAAAGCCTAAATATTTACTTTACAGAAAAAAATTTTTCAGAAAAAAATTTACAGAAAAAAAATTTTTTTCTGTACAGAAAAAAATTTGCTGATGCCTGGTATGAGACATTATAATGCCCTTTGTATGCTACTCACAGTAGAATGTTGTGCTTTTATGTTTGCTAAAGGATCTCATACGAAGGAGTGATTTCAACCTGATTCAGTCAGGCATCAGGAAAATTTCTAGCATATGAATAAAAACCTAGATATTGATTCCCCTGTATGATTCCAGTGGTTTTTCAGCTATATACCTGTCTGTAAATGAAACACAGATCTACTTTTTCTAATTAGTTCTTACTATTATATAGCTAATCTACATTACTTATATTTAGATTTTTCCTACTCAGGTAAAGTTCTTTGCATATCAAACTTAGTGTCTAGTTTCTTTATTTAACTACTAATATAACATAATCGTATTTTACCTTTAAGCATGGAGTCAGTAATAATTAACATTGGATGTAGTCTTCAAACTTCAGAAGCATTTATTAAACTTCTCATCAATAAATGATAATCTCATAGTCTAAAAGAGTTAATTTACTTATAAGTAAGCATGCCTCTTTTGTAGTACTCCAATAGGCCGTAAAACAAAAAACTAAAAAACAGAAGATATAGCTGTATAAGAGTTAAATTTACATGCAACTCTAAAACATATATGACTTAAGAGAATTTATAATTCAACACCAATGTATGACATTATTAATAGGCTCTTGGTAATATATAAGTTAGAAAATAAATGGTTATAGTCGTACACTTAGCTAAGATGTATTGCAGTGCTAGGAGTTTTATGTTTTTTGTCATTGTCAACTAATGAATGAAAATACAAAGCAATTTTAAAGAGCCACAATTTATATTTACACAAAATTAAGCCATTTTAAAAATCTTGATGATTCAGTTAATCAGAGGTATTTGATACATTATTTAATAATATTTGCTTTGGCAGTACTATTGTTTTAAACTATTAATAATCCATTGGGAAGTTTTGGTTTTCTTCAAGTTTAGTAAATCAGTAAGAAAATGAATAAATGATCTTGATGTTTTTCTTGAAAATACAGTTCACGGAGTCTGTTAGAATAAAAGGAAACACTTACACAGTTGTCCCTCATTATCTGTGTGGGATTGGTTCCGGGATGCCCCAAGGATACCAAAATCCACAGATGCTTAAGTCCCTTTTATATAATCACATACAATAACCTACACACACCCTTCCATATACTTTAAATTATCTCTGAGTTACTTACAATATCTAATACAATGTAAATGCAATATAATTAGTTGTATTGTTTAGGGAATAGTGACAAGAAATGTACAAATACATTTCAAGTACATGTACAAGTCTGTATGTGTTGAACACAGATGCGACCATCCATTTTTTTCCCCTGAATATTTTCAAGCAGTGGTTGGTTGAATCGATGGATGTGAACCCTATGAATATGGAGGACTGACTGTATATGCTTTTATGCTTTCAGTACTGTTTAAAGTCACTGAGATAGTAGAGCCATCATTAGAACCCATATAGTCAGAGTGAATACCTTAATAATGTTTATTGTATGTTTTCCCAAACAAATGAATAGAAAAATTTTATGTAAAATTGTGTATTAAAAGATTGTAAATGGTCAGGTTTCCATTAGTTTGATTTTGAGAGAAAGATTTCAGAGAATCATTAGGTCCTTCTGCCTTTTTCAGACCAGTCAACGGACTGAAGGGTCTTAAGAAAAGACCTCAGGGATTTCTTATAGAGATAATTTGAGTGACAAGGTATATTGTTTCCACGTTTTTATATACCCACCAGCTTGCCCTTCCATAATTGGCACCTTTTAATTTCTGACAATGTTGTAAAAGGATGAGTTATAGCAAATCATTATTAACTTATCTCAAATGTTTCTAATTCTCATCCCTTTCACATAATTAACTTCCTTTTTTTCCTCCTCATTCATTTAGTTATTTTTATTTTTAATTGTCAAAGAAATAGTTGCTCATAAAGGAAATTTAGGAAATGTTTAAAATGATAAAAAAGAGACTAAATTACGCATAGTTCTCTACCCAAATATAATTAGGTGTGATGATAATGACTGTTGATTTTGGTTTTCTTTTCTTCCATTTCCCCCCTATGGATTAGGGCTTTTTCTAAAGGATTTTTAAATATGGGTATTTATAACTTAAACATTTTTCCATATTATTGCATATTGTTTATGAACATTTTTATAAATAAGGCTTTTCCACATTTAGTATTATTTTCTTACAATTTTTAAGGAAGAAATACTGAAGCAAACAGTGTGAAGGTATTTTAAGATTATTTATGTATATTGCCAAATTGGTTTCCCAAAGGAGTGATCCAGTTTATCTTCACACTAATAATGTATCAAACTATGATGATTCATTGCAAACTTGCTAGCATCAATTCTACATTAATAAATAAATTAAAGGAATTTGATTTTTTACTTATTTCTTCCTAGCCCCTATAGGGAATTTGTTTAGTTCTTTGCAATTTTTTTTCTTCCCTACACTAAAACAGATAGATAGATAGGTAGGTAGGTGGGTAGGTAGGCAGATGGATGGATGGATGGATGGATGAATTAGGATGGATCTGCTGAGCCTCATTTAAACCAAATTGTCTCAAATTCTTTATTTCAGAAGTCTTTAAGCTCAGATAATCTTCTCACTATTGTTATCTCACAATTTACTCTGTGCTACTGCTGCTTTGTTGTTTAAGAACACTGAATTCTGTCAGTGCTGTTCTCCCATTATTACTGCTATCTTCAGCATTGTCTGTTTCATTGTATCTTGTGTGTGCCACACAGCCACCTAGATATTGCGTTTGAGAAAGGTTTCGAAATTTTTTTCTATTGTATTCTTCTGCCTTTGTTGCAGTGATAATCTCTACTGGCCTTTCAAGGTAGGGGAGGATATGTTCCTAAGCAGAAAATTTTGAGGCCTGTGTCCTTGAAGAGTTTGTGAACATCAAGATTTCAGTAGTTAAGCACTGACCCCAGGCCTGGTATTGATACTTAGGATTTCCCTAACCTGCAGAACCATGGGAATAGTATCCATAGTGGTAGAGCTGTGGTAAGCAAATCAGCTTTTACGTTAGAAAAGTCACACCTGGTGTGATTGTCTAACAAGCAAGCATGCTTGCAGGTCTGTACTGTTTCTCTTCTTTATGTCTTTTACATCTCTCTGGTTCCTCAGAGTGCTTTGTATATAGTGGCTACTCAATTATTTGTTGAGCCAAGTACAGAGTGCTCTCTGTATAGTAAGTCATCTATTTCTTGAGCCGAATTGAATTTAATTGTCAGAGTTAACAGTAGTTCTTGGGTCTCTTCCAGTAGTTCTTTCACCTCCAGCTCACTTGAGGGTATGGTTGGACTGAAGATTACTTCAAGATTATTTTCCCCAGTGCCTTGCTGTTACCAACTGGGGAAGCTGTGGAAAAGAATATTTTAGGAGAGTTGAACGATGATTTAATATACCTATCATTTAATATAGCTTCCCACTTTAATTGAATTTTTCCTTCCAAAATTGACATTCAGTGGACTTATAGGCTCTTTTTGAATATGCGTCTTAAAGGGGGGTGAATACACTTTGGGGTAGCTCAGGTTTTTTCCATAATGTTTATTTATATTCAGCTGAAATGAATATATTTTTGGCTTATTCCCATTGTGATTATATAGGAAGAATGAGAATTTTTGTTTTACCCAAGAACCTTCTGTATACCTTAGTAAAAGCATTGTTTCTGTCCAGGCTTCTCTTGGTCTTGAACCATTCTTGTAAAATATGGTTTTGAAGCTCATCACCAACTTTTCCCTGACTATGCTCTAATAATACTTCTTTTAATGGTGCTCAGGGCTGAATAAAATGTTACGTGTGTGATATGACTAGTAACAGATGAGAGCGAGACTATCATTTTCCCTTGGTTTATAAACTATTCTGCTATTTATTCAGGCCAGAAATAAATTACATATTTTGGTAGTTATAGTTTATCCTTTAATATATCAAGTTTGTTTTCAATAAATCTATACATCTGTTTTACACCTGCTTAATTTATATTCCTTCTCCATATATGTACAATGGTTTTTTTAAACAAATTTTACATTGTTATCTCCCTTCAACTTCATCTTGTTAGAGTTGGCTCAGTTTTTCCAGCATTTCTGAAACCTTTGTTCCATTTCTAATACAGTCATTAAACTTTTGACTTCTGCAAATGTGATATACATTTTTTTTCAACTTTTATTGTAGGTTCAGGGGCTATATGTGCAAGTTTATTACTTGGGGAAATTTCAAGACACTGAGCTTTGGGGTAGGAATGATCTCATCACCGAGGTAGTGAGCATAGTACCCAATAGGTAGTTTTTCAACCCTCATCCCCTTCCCTCCTTCCTCTAGTGGTCCCCAGTGTCTGTTGTTCCAATCTTTATATTCACATGTACCAATGTTTAGCTCTCTCTTATAAGTGAAAACATGTGATGTTTGGTTTTCTGCTCCTGAGTTAATTTGCTTAGGATAATGGCCTCTACCTACATCTGAGAACAGGAACAGATGCTTCTCAAAAATTCTCAAAAGAAGACATTTGTGCAGCCAAAAAACACATGAAAAAATACTCACCATCACTGGCCATCAGAGAAATGCAAATCAAAACCACAATGAGATACCATCTCACACCAGTTAGAATGGCAATCATTAAAAAGTCAGGAAACAATAGGTGCTGGAGAGGATATGGAGAAACAGGAACACTTTTACACTGTTGGTGGGACTGTAAACTAGTTCAACCATTGTGGAAGTCAGTGTGGCGATTCCTCAGGGATCTAGAACTAGAAATACCATTTGACCCAGCCATCCCATTACTGGGTATATACCCAAAGGACTATAAATCATGCTGCTATAAAGACACGTGCACACGTATGTTTATTGCGGCACTATTCACAATAGCAAAGACTTGGAACTAACCCAAATGTCCAACAATGATAGACTGGATTAAGAAAATGTGGCACATATACACCATGGAATACTATGCAGCCATAAAAAATGATGAGTTCATGTCCTTTATAGGGACATGGATGAAATTGGAAATCATCATTCTCAGTAAACTATCGCAAAAACAAAAAACCAAACACCGCATGTTCTCACTCATAGGTGGGAATCGAACAATGAGATCACATGGACACAGGAAGGGGAACATCACACTCTGGGGACTGTTGTGGGGTGGGGGAGGGGGAAGGGATAGCATTAGGAGATATACCTAATGCTAAATGACGAGTTAATGGGTGCAGCACACCAACATGGCACATGTATACATATGTAACTAACCTGTACATTGTGCACATGTACCCTAAAACTTAAAGTATAATAATAATAAAATAAAAAAGAAGACATATGTGTGGCCAACAAAGATATGAAAAAAATAACTCAACATCACTTAGCATTAGAGAAGTGCAAATCAAAACCACAATGAGATACCATCTCACACCAGTCAGAGTGGCTATTACTAAAAAGTAAAAAAAATAATAATAATAACAGATGTTGGTGAGGTTGCAGAGAAAAGGGAACACTTATATACTGTAAGTGCTTATTTTATAACATCTAATTTGATATAATCCAGATATTTGGATTTTTCAGATGAGAATAATTTATTTTCTAAGCTTATACTACATATTGGATTACAAATTTTTTAAAGGCTTTCTGTTTACCCATTTAGGAACCAAAGTATAATTTAATATATGATTATTTGATAGCATTTACTATGAGAAATGTTACCATTTGTGTTCCATAACTACACTTAAAATATGGAAATATTTTAATACAGATACCTTTAGCATTTGGGACATATCTTGCAGAGAGATTTTCAAGAATGCCTTTTAGTGGAGATTTGTGAAATGAAAGATAGTAAACCTTTGGGGTTTATTGCAGTTCTGCCCAAGGACAAATGAATGAATGGATGACTTTTCAAAGTAATCCTTACAAAGTTATAATTTGTGATGCTTTCCCCATCCTTAATTAATTGTTCTCTTTAACTACTTTCACAGAAAGCCCATCTACTCTCAGGAATTAAACTATCATCCTTTTGCCAAGTATTCCAAAATAGAACTCTTCAAATCTGGCCTTGTACCTTTTCTCCAGGAGCATATACTATGCTGCCTTCAATGAGCCTTCTTATTCTGGGGTTTTCATAAAAATTGAAACCTGAACAATTTCAAAGGAAAATCATTATTACCATTTCTTATTCCTTACACTGCTCATCTCTTTTTTTGTTGTTGTTTTGTTAATGTCATTAGTACCACTGCCTTCTTATATTTCCACTTTATAGCCCTGTCTGTTTAATAAATGTTAATTGAAAAAAAGACTACCTGGATTTTTTTTCTTCTACCTTAATCACTCTTTCATTTAGAATCCAGTTTATACACTTCATTCTTCACTGTCTTTTAAGATTCTTTCTCTGGGTAACCAGATCACTTTTTTTTTTGCTTCTTCCATAGAAAGATTACCTTCTTTTTTTGAATCTTTATGTATAGTTTTATTATATTCTCTATGTGCTTTGAATGATAGGAACTTTAGGTTAACTGATAACTTATGGATACAGCCTCCTACCATGGCTAAAATTCCTTTCATAACTAGCAAGGTAGTCTCTTCAATTATTATAAAGTTCTGTGACTTAGAAAATACTTCCTAATTAATGAGCCCCAAAATCTTCCTATTGATCCTATTGACATAGGATCAAATGTCCACCATTTGATCCCATGTCATATCTCTGTGGAAACACAGAAATAAGTCTCCCTTTATGATGTAGCTTTTCTGGCACATGAAAACTACTGTTATATCTGCCTTCTCTTCTCAGATTAAACATCTTTATTTCTTTAACACATTGCTAATTCATTCATTCAGCGAATATTTATTGAGCATTTTTTTTGAGGCGGAGTCTCGCTCTGTCACCCAGGCTGGAGTGCAATGGTGTGATCTCAGCTCACTGTGACCTCCGCCTCCCGGGTTTGAGCAATTCTCCTGCCTCAGCCTCCAGAGTAGCTGGGACTACTGGTGTGTGCCACCATGCCCGGCTAATTTTTGTACTTTTAGTAGGCTCTGGGTTTCACCACATTGGCCAGGCTGGTTTCGAACTGCTGACCTCAGGCGATCCACCCACTTCGGCCTCCCAAAGTGCTGGGATTACAGGCATGAGCCACCATGCCCGGCCTATTGAGCGTCTTTTGTGTGCAAGTCATTGTTTAGGTATTTGGAATCTGGTGAACAGGAATGATAAACTCTTTTCTCATAGAGCTTACATCCAAATAGAGATAAAAAGTATTCTATATTAAGATGCCAGCAAGTAAAAAAAAATAAGATAATTTCAGATTATGATTAATGCCATGAAAAGAATAGAACAGGACATCAGGATGGAGAAGTGATAGAGATGGGAGGCAGCTTCTCCATGAACTTTGGTTTACAAATATCTCATCATTTTGGTTGCCTTCCACCACAACAACATGCATGGACTTGGCACTTTTAACATATGATCTTATGGTGAAAGACTTCTGATCTGCTAATGTCCTCTGTGTACATAGGGAAGTATGGAGCTTCTTAGTTATGTGGGAGATGAAGCTGTCTGAACTACATCAGTGAGGGAACTATTAAAGAAGGAGACACAAAAATTTAGACCTTTTGCAGTTATCGTTAGCCGCAGTATTCTCTTGCTCAGTGTGCTCTTCTTACAGTGGGATGAGTAGTTGCCATATTTGGACAATGTGCTTCCCTTAGTGCAGCTCCACATGTAATCAGCTGTTCCAACAACAGGTCACCTTAGCTTTGTAGTGAACTTATTTAGGTCTAGATCTCACCTGTTTGGAACTTGGAAAATCAGTTTATTGAACATAGTTGCAGGGCTTTGCAGTTATTCCTTACTTACTCAGCACTTCCTTCTACTTTAATGTGATCTTTTTCTAATGTTTTTAATAGATTTAGAAAGCTTATGTTCCTTGTTGTCTTTAAAGTTAGCAAAAATGATGTATACAGAAGAGTACCTAGGCAAAACTTAGTAAAAAGCTTTCTTCTAAATTGATTTTTCTTTATTTAATTAGCACATTTTGAGTAAGGCCATAGGTCTACCTCAAACTGTACCTGAACCTGTTAATATCTAGTTCCCATTTTTTCCCCTTTTGTTTCAAATATTTTATAAAATGTTTGCTAAAGACAGTGAAGCATAGGCTGGGCATGGTGGCTCACGCCTGTAATCCCAGCACTTTGGGAGGCTGAGGCGGGTGGATCACTTGAGGTCAGGAGTTTGAGACCAGCCTGGGCAACATGGTGAAACCCTGTCTCTACTAAAAATACAAAAACTAGCCAGGCGTGGTGGCACACCCTTGTAATCCCAGCTACTCAGGAGGCTGAGGTAGGAGAATTGCTTTAATCTGGAAGGCGGAGGCTACAATGAGCCAAGATCACGCCACTGCACTCTAGTCTGGGCGAGAGAGCGAGACTTTATCCCCGCCCCCGAAAAAAGAGAGAGTGAAGCATAATGGTTTAGCCTGCCCTCTAGAGTCAAACTGAAATTTTTTATTCATCACTTGTTACCTGTGTAATACTGGGCATGTTACCTAACCCCTCTGACCGTTGGTTTCCTAATAATTGTATTGGCTTTATAGGGATATGTGAAATAATGATATATAAATCATCCCTCACAATGTCTGGCATATAGAAAAGTCCAATAAATGTTAGCAGTAGCAGCTGTAGTCATTGTTGTTCCTGGCCCACAGAAATTAAATATAGTCTATTTTGGGCTTTCCAGATCTAAAAACCCTTTAAATGCATGTGCACACACACAAATATATACACAGCTAGTTTTCTGCCATTTATTCTTAGGGATGGACACAGTAAAAACATCTTTATTTTTTACATCTTATATGCCATCTGTCTAGAATTTTACTAGATGAAGCATCAATGTTACCATCTCTGAAATCCATATGTTCTTATTGAAAGCTTAAAATTTGTCTTCTCTGTAGTCATTTATCATCTTTTCAGGGGTCTACAGTTTCTCAAAGATTAATAATACTACCAGATCTTCTAGTAGCTACTTTGATATTTCTTTGTTTGAGCCTAGTTAAAAAAAAAAAAGACATGGGTATGAGAGGCTGAAAATAAAGTTGAGAATTGCCTGGGTATTTCACTTAGCCATGATTCTCAGGTCTTTGTTAGACAAAGAGTAAAATTATCTATACCAGGGAAGAGAAATAACGTTTCTACTAAATAAATGTAAAAGTAACCACTAATAAATACTAAATAACAGAGCTACTGTATGACAAGTACTGTAAATATATATTCATGTTATATAATATGTTTAATCCTTTTAGCAACTCCTTTTCATAGGTGAGAAAATTGAGCATCAGTATTTAAGTATCTTGGTTATCACACTTCTACTAAGTGGCGGAATCTATAGAATTTGAATCCAGCTTTGTCTGACACCAAAACCATATCCTTTCTACCTAATATATGCTACCTCCCCTACTATTTGGCAGTTAACGTTATACTGACATGTATATTAAACTGAAACTATATAAAGAGAAGCTAATAAAGGCTTTTTTGCTATAGAAGATATTTCTAGAGTCAGAGAATTGATGAGGATCCATGAGTAAACTTGGCAAATTTCCCTCAATAGGAAAACGTTAGCATTTTAGAAATATTATAAAATCGTGAAATCTTAGGGTTGAAAGAAACCTTCTTGATTATAAGTTTTGTTTTCTGGTCACATAGCAATTATATATGGGATTATATTATAAAGAATTAATTTTATTATTGCTGTATCTGTAATATTTTGAGACTTAAGATAAATTATTGCTTTTGTTTACTTATTTATTTACCTTATTTACTTCTTTATACCACTGTATTTTAACAGTTTCTTTTATATTGTATAGTCTAATGGTTACACAAACATTTGTGTGTAACCATTAGGATAAACAAATAGAGATTTCAGAATTCTTCCACATGTAAGTGATGCCCTAGTACTCTAATTTATAATAGAGGGATTGTTATGGCTTATACTGAAATACTAGAAGAGAGTTTTGCTTGCAAGACGTGTATACACATAGGCTGATTTCATATTAAGTAATTCTGCTTTATTATAATAATTCATCCTGATCATTGTTCAATAATGGATTCACATTCTACCTTGGTTTTGTGATTGTGCTGGTGTTGTAGTATAAATTATAGTTATTATGCACTTCAAATTTAAATGTTATTGATAAGTAAAATTAAACACTTTCCATATGACAGCGTGGGCAGATATTTTTGTGTAGTATGAAACAGTGAATTTCAAATAGTAGTTAATTTCTTAAACTAATATTGAGCATTATATCCCTAAAGATAAAAAAGTTTAAACCCAGAGAAGAAATCATAGACACTACATCTATATCTACCTCTTTCTCTCTCTCTCTCTCTGTAAAATCATTCCAGTTTCTTCTGCTTAGAACAGTAAGTTCCATGGGGCAGGGACTTTGTCACTTTCCCCACTGTGTTTCTACCACCTAGTGCAGGATGCCATACGTGGTAGATGTTCAGTAAATATTTGGGGGCAGACTGTGTTGGCTTTGCAGATAAGTGTTATACTAAAAATGAGGGGAATATTTTTGCTTTTGAGTAGATTACACTGCTAATCATTTCAGAGTTTTGCTTGAATATTTCTGGGGGTTTATGTTTTTCCTGCTCTGAATTTCTAGATGCCATTAGCAAAATGTTTTATACAAAAGTTAAGAACAGAACGTTTATATTTGTGTTAAGTATATGCTTATGTGTATTTATGTTCATGTCTTTTTATCTATTAATAGAAAAGTGCAGCTGTTACTGTATTTTGTCTTATCAATTGCTAAGGGTTAGGTAAGTGTTGCTTTGATTTGTAGTCCCAGGTAATAAGTTTAAATCTTTGTGCTTATATATAATTGTATATGAATATATTGCTGACAAGGGAAATTATTTTGGTTATCAAATATCAGAAAGTTTCATATTATTGTCTGTATCTTTCTGATAACAAGGCCACTACTTTCTAGTAAATCAGGTATTTTCTCTGATGTTAATTAATCCTTTAAGCCACTAATCCAACATTTCTCAGAAGTATAAACGTGGACAGTTTACATCAGATTCACTGGTAATGCTTATTAAAATTACAGATTTTCAGCAACTACCTTAGTCCTCCTAAATCAGAATATCTACAATGTGAGTCTCTGAATTTGTGACAAGCTCTGCAGATGATTTCTCTGCAATCAGAAGTTTGAGAATCATAGTATGAAACTTTCCTGGAAGTGTCTTTGCCCTTAGGAGGGGTTCCATCCTGGAAGCTCTACAGAAAAAAATCCCTCACTATAAGCTCTCTGCCCATTTAAGTTCCAGAGTAGTCAGTCTTAAGACACTGATTGTGTCAGTTTGAATTACAACCAAAGGTGCATTATTTCCAAAAGCTGTTGGACTGGAACAAAACAAGAACATCAAAATTGCTCACTAGACCAATATTGAAAGCAGACAAAATGGCACTCAGTTCCAGTTCCTGACAACATCCCAGGAAATGTCTCAGCTGCCTTCACTGGGGATTGTCACTGCCAAAAATGCTTTACCCTTTAAAGCCTCGTGGGGAACTAGGCACTGTAGAGCTGAGCTGACTGGAGGAAAAAAAAAAAGTTCTACTTTTTTCAGGTCTACAAGAGCAGAGCTTTCTCTGGTACTATGAGAATTTCAGCCTAAAAATTCCTTGTATATGAGATCTTGACCATATGATCAAATCCTCTCTACAGCCATGACCCATCTTGAATTATTTTACCACTTGCACAGGGCTACTACTGCATTTTGCAGGGTTCCAAATGCATCTCCCCATCTCGCAGAATAGATATCATTCCATGTATTGATCCATCTTTTTCTCACTTCTCTATCATTAGCTATAAACTGATTTTGAATTTCAGGGTTTAAATCAGGAACTCTTACTTTCTAGCCCCTCAAAAGCCAGTTTAGAAAAAATGTAATTTTACATATGTACATTCTATGTAAATTTGTTTGTATCAGAGAAGTGGTAATGCTACCTTTTGTATACAAAGGTGATGATACTGAATTAAATTTCCAGAAGTAATGATGAGTTTTTATTCATGCATCCATGTTGTAATCTCTGGCCTTCCTTGAATTCAGGGGCATTCTAAAATGCAGTGTTTTGGCCTGGCATAGTGGCTCAGGCCTGTAATCCTAGCACTTTGGAAAGCTGAGACAGGTGGATCACCTGAGGTCAGGAGTTCGAGACCAGCCTGGCCAACATGGTGAAACCCCGTCTCTACTAAAAGTACAAAAATTAGCTGGATGTAGTGGTGGATGCCTGTAGTCCCAGCTACTTGGGAGGCTGAGGCAGGAGAATAGCTTGAACCTGGGAGATGGAGGTTACAGTGAGCCAAGATGGCGGCATTGCACTCCAGCCTGGGTGGACAGAGCAAGACTTTGTCTGACTGGAAAAAAAAAATCAAAATAAAAACTAAAATACAGTGTTTAGTTAGAGAACAGACCATACCAATTAATTTTTACATAAATTAAATCCATGACTTGCCTGGCATTTTGCCCTAGCCAAATTAACTAGCCTCAGAAGTTGGATTTTGCCTCTGTGTTTGTTTCATTTTCTCAGTCAAGAATTAAGAGTACTGACATTACATATTAAGCTTTTTTGTATCCCCTGGGGTAACTAACTAGCATGGTGGCTTATACATAGCAGGTATTTAGGAAAAAAAAACACACTTTGATTTACTGATATTGATTATGTTTCAATACAAGGGCAGTTCAGCTACTTTGCATGGACTTCTTTGGGAAGGATTTACTATGATTTCTATTTCTATATTCGTGTATGTTTTTGTGTTTGAGTTCAGTCATACTTATTACTTACCCATCTTCTTATTGAACCTCCCTTTTGATCGAATGTGATTATTGCATTGGTGGTATATTAGTTGTTTTGAAGAATTAATATTTCTTTCTAATTCAAGCCTATGATGTGACTCAGGCTGGTGATACAATGATGGTATTAAGACAATGTTCATCCCCTTCAACAGGGAAAGTAAAACTGTTCAACTTGCTTTTGAATACCCAGTATACCTGTTAGTAATTTATTTAGGAAGGTAATAGTCTCTTCATATATTAGAAATTTTGCCACATTAAGCAAAATCTTAGAAAAGTCAGTATTTATCAGAATTTAATATTAGGAAATCTTTTTCAAAGGAATTGAACATATCCAAATCGGAGCTAAATACTGTCACAAATAGCTCTAATTTTTTCACCTTCAAGCAAACCACATTCAGGTGTTAGCTATTGGCTCTGAAGTAGTTGTTCTATATACTATAGGTGTTGGAGGCCCCTCCTTGGTGGATTTTGAAACAGTAGAAACTCATAATGATTGCATTCTCTTAGGAATCTTACTTAATCTGGCTGCAGCGTGCAGAATTTATTTCAGGAGTCAGACCAGATAGGAGACTGTTATGGACTGAATGCATGTGTGTCCCCCTCTCCTGGCGTTCATATATTGAACCCATAATCCCCAATATGACTATATTTGAAAACAGGGTCTGTGAGGAGGTGATAAAGGTTAGATGGGGTCATAAGTGTGGGGCCCTAATTGGATAGGGCTGATTCCATTATACGAAGAGGAAGAGACATCAGAGCTCTCTCTACAATGTGAAGACACAATGGAGAAGTGTGTAATGCATGCTGTGTATAAGCCACCATGCTAGAGAAAGTGGCCGTCTGCAAGCCAGGAAGAGTCCTCACCAGGAATGGAATCAGCCAGCACCTTGATCTTGGACTTTCCAGCTTCTAAAACTGTGAGAAGTAAATTTCTGTTGTTTAAGACACCCAGCTGTATGTTTTTCTTGCAGCCAGGGCAGACTGAGACTGAGACAGAGACAGAGAACACTGTCATAATCTAAGCTTGAGGTGGTAAGGAGTGTGGCATCAGGAAAGACAGCAATGAGACAGGTATGGTGGGAAAGGAAAGAAAGTGGTATAAGAGAAGGGTCCATGGGACCTAGTGGCTGACAGCATGTGGGGACAAAGGATGATGTATATTATCTGTATTTCCCAAAGTGGGGAAAATTTTTTAAGTCCAATTTTGTTGAGGGTTCTGCCTTCCAGGCCCCCAGGTTTGGTGATTTGCTAGGACTAACAGGACTCAGCATATAGTCCTCATTGCTATATTTATTACGGTGAAAAGATACAAAGCAAAATCAGTAAAGGGAAAAGGCACATGGGGCAAAGTCTGGAGGAAACCAGGCACATACTTCCGAATCTTCTCCCAGTTAAGTTGCACAGGATGAGCTTAATTACTCAAGTATCAAGTTGTGAAAGTATGGTAAAGTGTTATGTGCCAGAGAAGCTTGCCTGAGCCTAGGAGTTCAGGGTTTTTATCAAGAGCCCATCACATAGGCACCCTTTGCCTAGAATATACCCAAATTTCAGACTCTCAGAAGGAGTTTAACATGCATCACATTGTTCATATAACAGTTTAGGTACAATAAACCACATTTATCAGGGAATAATGGCAACTGCTGAAATTCAAGTTTCCAGTTGCCAGCAAAGGGCCAGCCTTTCAAGCATTTCATTCTAAGAATAGCAGTCTCAGACCTGCAGTATTAACTGTTTTTTGCACAGTAATATTTTAAACTAGAAAGGGAACATTAAATATATGTCACTCTGTTTTTCTTACTGAAGTTTGTGCATAATAGAAACAAATTTTAACCCTAATTATTGTCTTCAGTTGGCCACACAAAAGGATATTTTTGAGAAGTGTTAGGAAGAGAAAAACAACTCTGAATACAGTGAAATGTTGCCATGCGTTTAAAGTCAGCCATGGAACATAATTTTAGGTTATATTCTCCTGTAGAGTAAGAGTTATATACACAGTATCTTTAGTAATAAATACCTAGAGAGCTCAAAGAGGTAAGATGCCTTTGCTGAAGGCACCATCTCTTGATGACATAGGATCTCTGTAAACCTTGCTGGTGTGCAGAATTCCTCATGTGTCAGGTGCACAATCCCAAAGCTTTCCTACTTTGTACTTCAGGTTCAAAGAGATTTTTAAAGCATCTTATTTTCTTGATTTTGGTATAGCATCTACTGCCCAGAGCACTAGATGAGTCTCAGTTGGAAGTGGGAAGCAGAAATAGCATAGGTTCAGGAGCTTCCAGAAAACAGGATGCCCTGACAGTGTTTTCCTTTCCTGTACCACGTGTGGCCCTTTCTTTCCTTAGGATGTTACCTTAGAGGTTTCTCTTGCTAGTTAATAGAAAGATAGTTTTGGGGGCAGACCACAAATTCCTAGGTATGGTTTGAGGTAAGCATAATTTGACACATATAATTACATTATGTTAAACTTTAAAAGTTCTCAAACTTTATTTTAATGCCAACCACATCTTGTTTAGAATCCACATATGTAAAACATGTAAAAGCTGAGCTGCTGAGCAGGTTGAGCTGAAGCAGGCTGAGGAGTCCTGCAATCATTCGCCCCTAAAGCTCCTGCAGAGAATCTTAAAAGTTCTTGGAGATTGCTTCTCCCCTCTAACTCCGTTGTAGTAGAGATGAGAAAATGAATGATCAGGAAATTAATCTATATCAGTTAGTTCTTTCAAGTCCTTACAAACCCTTTTCTAGAACTTCTTTGACTAACCCCATTTTCTCCTGTAGCTGTTCCTGTAACGTTTTATATAAACATAGTGCTTATCATTTTGTTTTATACATAAATGTTTGTGTTGTCTCCCTCAGAGTCCCTAACCTCAGTCTATTTTTTAAAATTAATTTTAGATCCTCAGTGCTTAATGTAATCCTAGTATATAGTAGGTAGTTAATAAATACTGCATTAAAATGAATAAATTTATTCAATACTTTCCATGGAAATTATTTATTCAATTTGTAGTATCATTTTGCATTCTTGATGTCTTAATTTCGAATGGTTCTCTGTTAATTTCTGAGATTGTTTATTTCTTCAACTACATTGTCAGCTTTTTAAAAATCTTTATTGCCTACTCCCCAACATAAAACCCAGAATAATAGGAGTATTTTGGTTAACCAAAGAGAATTCCATAGAAAATGTCATGATAACTGTAGCTTTACTTCCTTCTTACTACCTCTCAAAATGTTCCTGATGTCAGCTAGTAAGAGTGCTCTGCTCTTTCTTTTATGAGGCCAGTATGTAAAGAAGCAGTGTATAACTGAAATAATGTGAATTTGTCTCCAGGATCTACCACTTATTACCTGTTGACCATGGTCATAATATCGAACCTCTCTGATGATGATGATGATTATTATTATTATTATTATTATTGTGAGATGGAGTCTTGCTCTGTCGCCAGGCTGGAGTGCAGTGGCACGATTTTAGCTCACTGCAACCTCCTCCTCCTGGGTTCCAGTGATTCTCCTGCCTCAGCCTCCCGAGTAGCTGGGACTACAGGCGTGCGTCACCACGCCCAGCTAATTTTTGTATTTTTAGTAGAGACAGGGTTTTACCATGTTGGCCAGGATGGTCTCGATCTCTTGACCCTGTGATCCACCCGCCTCTGCCTCCTAAAGTGGTGGGATTACAGGCGTGAGCCACTGCGCCTGGCCTTCTGATTCTTATTTCTGTCATCTATAAAGCAGGGAAAGTAATATCTGCCTTATGATAAATAAAGAAATGACATATTATGTGTTTTAATGTATGATTGTATTAAATGTAATGTATGTTACAATAAATATTTAAATATTAATAAATATCATTTATTAATAAATATTTAAATGATAGCTGATGTCATATACAAGCAGGTGTGATGAACCTACTAGTGGTGTTTAAATTTTAACATGAGTAAAGATCACCTTGGGAGCCTGTTCAATTGCACTTTCGGGTTTAGTAGGTCTGAGTTAGGACCTGCAGTTCTTCATTTCTGATAAACTCCTAGGTGCTGCTGATGCTGTAGTCTACAGAGCACACTTGGTGTAGCAGGCACTGGAGTATTCAAGATTCCCTTGTTATGCTTTTTTTTCTTTTAACATACGTTGAATGATTGGTTGGACTGTCTTTGGCAGTTATTTTATATCTTCTCAGATATTGTGACTGTTTTTAAGGTAGTTAACAATAATATTGTGGACTCATCCAGTGCTTTGTTTTGAAAACTTTTTTGTTACAATGCCAGGGACACAATATTTTTAAAAATATTTTGTAGTGCTGTATATCCAAATATTAGGGGCAAACAATTAAGGTAGACATGATGATCTTATCTACTTTTGTAGGTAAATAGGTTTATTGAATTTGAAAGGATGCCAAGCAAGGATTTATGGCATATTAAGGCAGATCAAGCCAGGAATGGTGGTTCACACATACAATCCCAGCTCTGGGAGGCTGAGGTGGGAAGATCACTTGAGCCCAGAAGTTCAAGGCTGCAGTGAGTTATGATTGTGCTACTGCATTCCAGCCTGAGTGACAGACTGAGACCCCGTGTCTTAAAAAAAAAAAAAAAAAAAAAAAAAAGGTCAGATCTTTGGCCATTTGCTTCTGCTGTATAATTATCTACAGGCCAGTAATTGAAAGTATAAACCTAAATTCGCAATGTTAGATGAACATTATAACTTATTAGAACATTATATATGTATAATTAACATTATACCAGTATATAACATTATAACTTATTATTTAGAAAGATTGTAAATCTTTCTAAGTTGAAGTTGAAAGAACAATAGGGTGGGAGTCAGGAGATGTGAATTCTGGGTTTGGCTCCAACAAAGGTTAGCGGAGTGACCTTGGAAAGGTGAGAGTTAATTCTTACTTTTTCCATGCATTCATGATACTTTATAAAAATAACTTTTCAACAAAGTTCTCAGTCCTCTATGTAAGAGAAGATCTTACCTATGACAATTTTCTAACCTTTAGCATTCTGAGTTTAAATGTAAAACTATCAAATGCTCTGAAAAATTAATGTTGCCTATGCTATTTTTATTTTAATTGTATTAATTTTGTTAATAAGATTTTAATAGTAAGTTTTGGAGCAATTTACTGGCCAGCTGAATATCTAAGATATTTCATTCAAATTTGAATATGTTTTTACAAAAATATAAGTAAAGCAATTGTAAAAACTTTTACACTATAATTTCAGTTTTTTTCCTAATTTATGCAAAATTATCTATTAAAGTAAAAGACAAAACACAAGAGATTTATGAATTCTTTAATATTATGTTATTCAGCCACTATATGTAACTCTTTCAAATACTATGTTAATTTGTGAGTACCTCCACAACAACAAATTAAAACATGAAGTAAGGAAATGGACATTTGGCACTATTGGGAAATGATACTTGGTTAAGCAGTGCTTTATTGCATACTTGATATTTGAGAGGAAGGATTTGACAAGTTAATTAGTCTTTTCTCTTACCTAAGTGATTTCATCACTCAAATCCTCCAGAAGTTCCAAAGCGGTATCTATCTCTGTCTTCAGCAGCAGCACAAACCAAACCTTGAGAGAATTCTGACACATGATCCCCTTTTATTTTGAGGACATAGGGCAAGAGATGTGCAGAAGCATTTCCTTGGGGCTTGAAGATGTTATTTGTGAGAGTAGATGTTCAAGGTTACAGATCATACAGTGTCAGTCTGAGGGCCAGATCCTAGTGGCAGAAGACGTTCATGTGTTCTTCATTAAATTTAATTTGGGTTATTTGTGACAGCTGGGGCCCTCTGAAACATAGGGTTTGTGGCAGGGTCCCCTCTTTCTTAGACCTAAGGGTGATACTGCTTGTGTACCATAGTCCCAGGAGCAGAACTGGGTGTGCTGAGATATCAAAGTTATGCATGTAATCTCAGCCAGGTTATTATAATTAAATATTATTTGGGTACCAGATAAAATGCTGAAAGTTAATACTGGATAGGCTGCTGTCATAAATCTCCTTAGCTAATCTATATGTTTAAATGGCAGCCAGACAACTAAAGTATGTGAACAAATAGCATTGCAAGCTAAAATTATGCTTTTCATAAGCAAATAACCTTCACTGTGCTTCTTAGCATCTTGGAGTTGTTCTCTTCTTGGTTGTGGCTACTGTTATGATGTTCATATATAGTAATCATCAATGTTTAACATTTAGGACTTCTGAGCAATCAAGTAAGCATTGAATTTTTATCTTATTTCTAGTGTAGAAAGTAGGAAAGGAAGTAGAGAAAATTTTCAATTTAGTGTTGATTCAAAGTCAACAAATAGATGATGGCTATTTCACATAATTTTCTGGTATTTGCTTTCTATAGCATTGTTTTCAAAGTCAAGGTTCTCATGGGGGAGAAGTACTGGACATCTGGACATCTTTTTTCTGACAGCATTGTCATAAGCTGTGATAACTATTTTATGTTTAAAACTAATGTAATCAGACAACATTGTAGTGTGCAATAGGAACCCTTATATAATGTGTGAAATGGTAAAATTATATTTATTTAAGAGGATATTGACATTTATTTTGTATTTGACTCTATACAAAATAAGTTTTTACTGTATCTACATTAAGAAGATCTCCAGTAAGTGCTTTGAGATCAATTAGTGCTTAAATTAGCATTTAGAGATCAGTCATTTAGAGATTTTTTTCAAGTATTTATATAAAACCTGCATGGTATATTTTATAAATAGGCTGCTAATATAGATAGGATTCTCATAGGTGAGTGGTAATAATGTCATAAACTAGTAATAAGTTTTATAATTACTTTAATATGATTCTGTGGTTAAAAAATAAGTTTGTACTATGTACATAAAGTATTTATGAGGCAGCATATTTTGTCAAAGAATAATATTTATCTAGTATATGCATATTACCTTCTATTTTCCCCGTCTAGTTTTCAAGTATATCTTTTTGAACTTTAGTCCCCTCTGTGATTGATTTTTACCCCACCTTATTTCAAAGAAATTCAAGGGGACTATCTCTTAACTTTTTTTTCCTGTTTTTGTTGTTGTTGTTATTTGTTTTTCGGAGGTGTGTGTGTGTGGTTGAGACAGGATCTCAGTCTGTTGCCCAGGCTAGAGTGCAGTAGTGCAGTCATAGCTCACTGTAACCTTGAACTCCTGGGCTCAAGCAATCTTCCTGCCTTAGTCTCCTTAGTAGCTAGTACTATAGGTGCACACTGCTATGCCTGGCTAATTAAAAAAAAAATTTTTTTTTAAGAGATGGTGTCTCACTGTGTTGCCCAGGCTAATCTTGAACTCCTGGCCTCAACTGATCCTCTGGCTTGGCCTCCCAGAGTGCTGGGATTATTTAAAAACCAGGCACCACATTCAGCCTTGGTTTTCAAATTCTTTTCAGGAAGTCTTTTTATTAAATACGAAACTATATCCCAACCTCAAATGCATTCATACATGGGGAAAATGTAACTTTTTGAATGTGTTGAATTTATAAATGAATAAGTTCTTTGTTATTATTTATATCTTAAGTCCTTCTTAAATTAGAGACCAATACAACTTACAAACCGTTGCTACCTATGAAACCTTTTTCAACTTTTGTGTCTTCTCAATTGTATTCTGAGTAACTTCCATCTTCCATCATTATCATTAATATAATACTGGAAAGAGTAGAATGGAAATGATACTGGCCTGAGTGTTTTTAAGTTTCCAAAAGATATTTGGAATCTTCTGTCTGCATTTCAACAGGGCCTTGGCTTCGATTGCTTATTTTACTATAAAGTGTGTTTCACATGTTTGCCACAATATCCTTAAATATGCTTTGCTGTTTGACCGATGTAAAATCATACTCCAGAAACACCTGCATCCAAGAATAACTGCTGTTGAACAATGTGTCTAAGGCTTTAATGCAAATACCAATCACTTGGGGATCTTGCTAAAATGTAAGTTCTGATTAAGCAGGGTTGGCATGGGCCTGAGGTCCTGCATTTCTAACAAGCTCCCTTGTGATGCCACTGCTCCTGGTCTAGGTACCATACCTTAAGGAGAAAGTATGGGTTACATCTATATGTCTAGTGCTTCCTAATGCATTTGCCCAGTGTTACAGGTCTAACTTGTTCTTAGGCAGTGGTTCTCAAACTTTAGCATGCATGAGAATCACTTGGGAGAATGTTGGCTCTAAATTTACACGCTTGGGCTCCACTCATCAGAGTCTATTTTGGTGGGACTTTGGGACCCAGGAATTTGCACTTTTGAAAACTCCTCAGATTTTGATGCATATGGACTAACACCACAATTTGAGAAACTGATACTTTAAAGTTTGGAATTGCTATAGAAATTCATGGTCCCTTCTGGAATGACAGCTTGTTAAAGCCAAGCAAGGATACAGTGAAAAGCCCATCTGAAAGGAGATTGCTTTGAATGCCAGTGTAGTATTTGGTTAATGGGGAAGCAGTAGTATAAATTTGCATGCTTTTCTTTTCTATTCCGTTGCTTCAGGCAATATAATTTACTAGGTGTATTAATTTATTGTAATATACCAATGGTGAAGACCATAGCTCATTCACTCCCTAATTAACCCTAGAGGAGTCTTAATTGGATAATTGGTTAGAAATAGTAGATGAGTAGGTATATTAAATGTTGAATGGATGGTCAGTATTGATTCTACTCTTGGATTCTGACTAGGATATTTACTCTCTCTCTCTCAGAAACATCTATATCTTTAATATTACTTGCTATTGTATTTACTAACTGTCACAAGAATAGCCTGTTCCACATATAAAATACAGAGTTGGTTCTCATGTTTTTTGTTGAAGGGAATTCGGATAACTAGTGAGTTGTTTGTCATTTTCATTTAAGACAGAAGTTAAATTCTAAAAGTATGTCACTCAGTGAATTTTTAAAAATTATATCTTTTAATAACTTTAAGATTGATTCTTCATCTATTCATGTCTCTGTTTTAAGGATGTGGGTGGTATTTATATAATTCCTAATTGATTCTATAAAAAGTATTTTAAACAAAAGGGTTATATAGAGGTTATAGTTATTAGATAATCTTGTCAGAAACAGTGCCATTTAGAATACTTGGTTCAGCAAACTGTTTAATGTCAGCCAAAGTGATTTAAAAGCTTTATTTAGGATTAATCCATCATCTGCTTAAATTTATTATCTCATTTATTCACTAATTTGCATATGACTTTGCAATTCAGAAATTTTAAGCAAACAGTGATATACCCAAAAATGGATTACAGGATAAATTGAATTAAAGCAAACTGCAGTGCAATCAAGGCCAGCTCTGGACAGAAGCCTGGGATTAGTGAGCTGTGATTACATCACTCCTTTTCTGCTCCTCCGCCTTTAAGAGCAAGCTTCTTTATGCTATCCCTGGATGGTTTTGTTCCAACCCCTATGCTATGAGGTCTCTCTTGCCCTTGGAGATTTAAAGTTTTGTATCAGAAATAGATTTGAAGATCATCATGACCAAATGTAGTTAGTGCTATGTGAGAAGGATATCTATCACACAAAATGCTTTATGGTCACAGAGAGATTAGTTCTGTCTGAAGGGAAAGGGGAGAAGATGACAAACATGCCATCGGGGCAATTAACATATAACCCTTCCACGGGTGAGAATACTGGACCAAATGACCTTTTTGGGGTGCCTTTCTGTTGTGAATTTTCTAGTTTATTAATAACCCAAGAACTGTGCCTTATAGTCCATAGTATTCATACCTCTCAAAACCAAGGTACTTAGGATTGGGGAGGAAAAAGACTCTACTAATTTTTAAAGTAGACCTAAACAATTTGCACTGCCTGTGTCTTTGACCTGATTTTTTACTCTCACCTTTCTTTATCTGTCCAGTTACCTTTGTATACTACCAAAGCTTTAACCTTCTGTCCTCTCAAACTTTTTTAAATTTTACTTTATTTAACTACCAATTTATCAAAACAGTCATTTACACTTGACGCCAGCCCACTCCGAAACAGCTGCTGTCTAGCTTCTGCTACCAGCACTTGACTATGCTTATTTGAAGATCATCAGTGATACACTAATTAAAACTCCAGTGACTTATCTGGCTTTGTGTTCCTTCATCTATGCCACAGTTGAATCATTGACCACTTTTTGCTTGAAGTTCTCAGCTCATGCTGCTTTCTGTTGAGTGCTTCTCATGCTACCTCAGTGGTACTTGTTAAATGTTTTCCTTTTCTACTTTCCCTCCATTTAGTCGCACAAAGCCCCCACCCTCTATACTCGTCTCTGCCTATTTAACAGATCCTACCTATGCTCTAAGGCCTGGTTCATAGGCCATCTTCCCTTTAAATCTTTGAGCTAAAATGTTTTCTCAGTTCTGTAGTTTTTAATCTAATTTTTACTTGGAGCACTTTTAGGATGACTGTTGCCTTGATAGTATGATTTTGTACACATTTCTTAACTACTCTAGCAGATGTTAAAAAAATAAAAAAAGGAGAGAAATCATCACTGTAGCTTCTGCAATGCTGTGCATTATTAGAAATCTTTAAATATTTTTCTTAATATACTGTGGTAGGGAGAATAATGGCACCCCAAAGATCCCCATGTCTTATTCTTTGAGTTAGTGGGTGCAGCGCACCAGCATGGCACATGTATACATATGTAACTAACCTGCACAATGTGCACATGTACCCTAAAACTTAAAGTATAATAAAAAATAAAAAAAAAAAGAAAAAAAAAGAAAAAAAAAAGAAACCACTGAATATGTTAGGTTACAGGGCAAAGTCAAATTAAGTTGGAATTAAACCTGTTAATCAGTTGATCTTAAAATGTGGAGATTAATCTGGATTATGCTAGTGGGCCTATTGTAATCACAAACATCTTTAGAAATAAAAGAGGGAGTCAGAAGAGAGAGTCAGAGTGATACCATGTGAGATCTCATCCCTTGCTTTAAAGATGGAAGAAAAGAACCATGAGCAAGGAATGTGGGAAACCTTTAAAAACTAGGAAAGGCAAATAAAAGGCAAGAAAATAGATTTCCCCCCAGAGCCTCCAAAAGGAATGCAGCTGATGTGTTGATTTTAGTCTAGTGAGACCCATGTCAGACTTACGACTTACCAAATTGTAAAATAAATACTAAAAATTCAGAGACAAAGGGATAAGTAAAATAGGAAAATAAAACTCATTATTCCAAGACTTGCTTAATTCCCTTTAGAGGTAATTTGTTCATTATTACACTGTTTTTTGGTTGTTTTACAAAGGAATTCTATATAATATAGTTATCCCAGTGAAGAAGGAGCCCAGATAAGATATATTGATTTATTCTTCTTTCTTTTTGTATGTTGTAAAACAGAGTCTTGCTCTGTTGCCCAGACTGGAGTGCAGTGGCACAATCTGGGCTCACTGCAGCCTCTACCTCCTGGCTCAAGAAATGCTCCTGCCTTAGCCTCTAATAGCTGGGAATTACAAGTGTGCCACGTAATTTTTGTATTTTTATAGAGATGGGGTTTCATCATGTTGCCCAGGCCGGTCTCGAACTGCTGGGCTCAAGCAATCCTCCCTCCTTGGACTCTCAAAGTGCCAGGATTACAGGGGTGAGCCACCATGCCCTCACACAAAAAGAAATTGGTTGGTACATATACACAGCTTTCTGATTTCTTTTTATTTGAGCTTCATAATTTGAAAAAGATACCTCTGTTGTTCAGTGGGGCTGCTACATAGTAGAAGCTCAATAAGTATTGAATGAATGAAAAAATAGAATTGATAAATAAAGAGAAAATGTCTTTATTCATTCTAAGAAACAAATTACCCTTTAGCATTTTTTTAATTTTTAATTTTTGTGGGTACATGGTAGGTCTATATTTATGGATTACATGAGATATTTTGATATATGCATGCAATATGTAATAATCACATCAGGGAAAGTGGAGGTATCCATCACCTCAAGCATTTATCCTTTATATTTCAAACAATATAATTATATCCTTTTTAGTTGTTTTAAAATGTAGAATTTATTTTTGTTTTACTATAGTTACCCTGTTATGCTAGCAAATACTAGGTTTTACTCATACTTTCTATTTTTGTACCCATTAACCATCCCCACTTCTCTCCCACCCCCTGCCACAACTTCCCCTCTCAACCTCTGGTAACCATCCTTCTACTCTCTATCTCCCTGAGTCAATTGTTTTAATTTTTAGCTCCCACAGTTAAGTGAGAACATGCGATGTCTGTCTTTCTGTGCCTGGCTTATTTCACTTAACATAGTGACTTCACGTTTCATCCATGTTGTTGCAAATGACAGTATCTCATTATTTTTTATGGCTGAATAGTACTTCATTGTGGATATGTACCACATTTTATTTATTCATTCATCTGTCGATGGACACTTAAGTTGCTTTCAAATCTTGGCTATTTTACTCCTGTAATCCCAGCACTTTGGGAGGCTGAGGTGGTCAGAAGTTTGAGAACAGCCTGGCCAACATGGTGAAACCTCGTCTCTACTAAAAATACAAAAATTAGCCAGGCATTGTGGCAGGTGCCTGTAATCCCAGCTAGTCAGGAGACTGAGGCAGGAGAATCACTGGAATTCATAAGGTGGAGGTTCTACTGAGCCATGATTGCACCACTGCACACCAGCCTGAGTGACAACTCCATCTCAAAAAAAAAAAAAATCTTGGTTATTGTAAATAATGCTGCAATAAACATTTGAGTGCAGATATCTCTTTGATATTCTGATGTCCTTTCTTTTGTTTATATACTCAATAGTGGAATTGCTGGATCATATGGTAGCTCTATTTTTAGTTTTTTGAGGAGCCTCCAAACTGTTCTCCATAGTGGTTGTACTAATTTATATTTCCACCAGCAGTGTAGGAAGGTTCCCTTTTCTCCACATCCTCGCCAGCATCTGTTATTGCCTGTCATGGATAAAAGCCATTTTAACTGGGGTGAAAAGATATCTCGTAGTTTTGATTTGCATTTCTCTGATGATCAGTGATATTGATTACCTTTACATATACCTGTGTGTCATTCGTATGTCATCTTTGGAGAAATGTTTATTCAGATGTTTTCCCATTTTTTAATAAGATTGTTAGATTTTTCTTCTATAGAGTTGTTTGAGAACCTTATAGATTCTGGTTATTAATCCCTTGTCAGATGGGTCGTTTGCAGATATTTTCTCCCATTCTGTGGGTTGTTGCTTGACTTTGTACATTGTTTCCTTTGCTATGCAGAAGATTTTTACCTTGATGTGATCCCATTTGTCCATGTTTGCTTTGGTTGCCTGTGCTTGTGTGGTATTACTCAAGAAATTTTTGCCCAGGCTAATGTCCTTAAAAGTTTCCCCAATATTTTCTTGTAGTGGTTTTATAATATGAGACCTTAGATTTAAGTCTTTAATCCATTTTGATTTGATATTTGTATATGGTGAGAGATAGGGTTCTTCTGCATATGGATAATCAGTTTTCCCAACAACATTTATTGAAGAGACTGTCCTTTCCCCAATGTATTTTCTGAGCAACTTTGTCAAAAATGAATTCATTGTAGATGTGTGGGTTTATTTCTAGGTTCTCTATTCTGTGCCGTTTTGGTTATGTAGCTCTGTCATATAATTTGAAGTCAGTAATGTGATTCTTCCAGTTCTGTTCTTTTTGCTTAGGATAACTTTGGCTATTCTGAGTTTCTGTGCTGTCATGTAAATTTCAGGATTGTTTTCCCTATTTCTGTGAAGAATATCTTTGGTATTTTGATAGGGATTGCACTGAATCTGTTGATTGCTTTGTGTAATATGGACATTTTAACAAGATTGAGTCTTCCGATACACGGACATGAAATATCTATCCATTTGTGTGTGTGTGTGCTCTTTAATTTCTTTCAAAAGTGTTTCATAGTTTTCATTGTAGAGATCATTTACTTCTTTGATTAATTCCTAGGTATTTAATTTTATTTGCAGCTATTGTAAATAGGATTACTTTTTAAATTTCTTTTTCAGATTGTTTACTGTTATAAAAATGGTTTTTGTATGTTGATTTTGTGTGCTACAACTTTATTGAATTTGTTTATCAGTTCTAATAGTTTTTTGGTGGAGTCTTTAGTTTTTTCAAATGTAAGATTATATCATTTGCAAACAAGGATAATTTGACTGCTTCCTTTCCGATTTGATGCTCTTTATATCCTTCTCTTTTCTGACTGCTCTAGCTAGAACTTTCAGTACTATGTTGAATAACAGTGGTGACAGTGGACATTCTTGTCATGTTCTAGATCTTAGAGGAAAGGCTTTCAGTTTTTCCCAGTTCAGTATAATACTAGTTGTTGGTCTGTTGTATGTGGTTTTTATTATGTTGAGGTATGTTCCCTCTATCCCCAGTTTTTGGAGGGTTTTTACCATGAAGGGATGTGGAATTTTGTGAAATGCTTTTTCAGCTTCAATGGAAATGATTATATGGTTTGTGTCCTTTATTCTGTTGATGTGATGTATCACATTTATTGATTTGCATATGTTGAATCATCCTTGCATTCCAGGGATAAATCCTACTTGGCCATGATGAATGATCTTTCTAATGTGTTGTTGAATTTGGTCTGCTAGTGCTTTGCTGAGGATTTTTGCATCAATATTCATCAATGATATTGGCCTGTAATTTCCTTTTTTGATGTGTCTTTGTCTGATTTTGGTATAAGGGTAATACTGGCCTTGTAGAGTGAGTTTGTAAGGATTCCTTCCTCCTTTATTTTTCTAAATAGTTTGATTCAGATTGATATTATTTCTTCTTTAAATGTTTGGTAGAAATCAGCAGCGAAGCCATCAGGTCCTGGACTTTTCTTTGCTGGGAAACATTACAGCTTTGGTATTGTTGTTTGTTATTGGTCTGTTCAGGTTTTTGGTTTCTTCCTTGTTCACTCTTGGTAGGTTGGCTATATCTAGGAATTTATACATTTCTTCCAGATTTCCTAATTTATTGAAATTATGTTTGCTCATAGTAGCCACTGTTGATCCCTTGAACATCTACAGCATCAGTTGTAATATCTCCTTTTTCACCTCTGATTCTATTTATTTGGTTCTTTTTTCTTTTTTTTTTTTTTTTGTCTGGCTAAATGTTTGTCAATTTTGTTTAACTTTTAAAAAAACAATTTTTTGTTTCATTGATCTTTTATTCTGTTTTCTTCATTTCAGTTTCATTTATTTCTGCTCTGATCTTTTTTTTTTTTTTAGACGGAGTCTCACTCTGTTGCCCAGGCTGGAGTGCAGTGGCGTGATCTCGGCTCACTGCAAGTTCCACCTCCTGGGTTCGTGCCATTCTCCTGCCTCAGCCTCCCGAGTAGCTGGGACTACATGCACCCGCCACCACACCCAGCTAATTTTTCGTATTTTTAGTAGAGACACGGTTTCACTGTGTTCACCAGGATGGTCTCGATCCCCTGACCTCGTGATCTGCCCGCCTCGGCCTCCCAAAGTGCTGGGATTACAGACATGAGCTACCGCGCCCGGCCTCTGCTCTGATCTTTATTACATCTTTTCTTCTAATTTTGAGTTTGGTTTACTCTTGGTTTTCTAGTTCTTTAAGATACAGTGTTAGGTTGTTTATATGAAGTTTTTCTTCTTTTTTGATGTAAGCTCTTATGTCTATAAACTTTCCTCTCAGTGCTGTATCCTGTAGGTTTTGGTATGTTATATTTTTATTATCTTTTTTACAAGATATTTTTCAATTTCCTTCTTGATTTCCTTATTGACTCACTCATCATTCAGAAACATATTGTTTAATTTCATGTATTTATATAGTATTCAAAATTCCTTGTTACTAATTTCTAGTTTTATTCCATTGTGGTTAGACACTTGATATTTTTTCAGTTCTTTTTAATGTTTTAAGACTTATTTTGTGACTTAACATATGATCTGTCCTTGAAATTGATCCATGTGCTGAGGAAAAGAAGGTGTATTCTTCAACTGTTGAATGAAATGTTCTGTAAATATCTAGTAGGTTCATTTGTTCTATAGTGCAGATTTAACTGATGTTTCCTTGTTGATTTTCTGTCTGGAAGATCTGTGTAATGCTGAAAGTGGGGTGTTGAAGTCTCCAGCTGTTACTCTATTGGGGTTTATTAGAGCTACTCTTTAGCTCTAATAATATTTGCTTTATATATCTGAGTTTTCCAGTGTTGGGTCCATAGATACTTAAAATTGTTATATCCTTTTGCAGAACTGACCCTTTTATCATTATATAGTGACCTTCTTTGTCTCTTCTTATAGTTTTGTCTTGAAATCTATTTTGTCTATTAGAACTATAACTACTCCTACTTTTTTGGTTTCCATTGGGATGGAATATCTTTTTCCATTCCTTTGGTTTTAGTCTACATATGTCTTTTTAGGTAAAGTGTTTTTCTTGTAGGCAACAGATCATTGAGTCTTGTTTCTTTATCCATTCAGCCACTTTGTGTCTTTTTATTGTAGAGTTTAGTTCATTTACATTCAATGTTATTATTGGTAATTAAAGACTTACTACTGCCTATTTGGTTTTGGTTGTTTCGTGGTCTTCTTATCCCTCTTTCCTTCCTTCCTGTCTTCCTTTTGGTTAAGGTGATTTTCTCTGTTGGTATGATTTAATTTCTTGCTTTTTATTTTTTTGTGTATCTGTTGTATGTTTTCTGATTTGAGGTTACCGTGAGACTTGCAAGTAATATCTTATAACCCATTATTTTAAGCTATAACAACTTCACACTGTTTGTATAAACAAGCAAAAAGAAAACTGAGTGAAAACTCTACATGTTAACTTCATCCCCCAGATAGTTAATCTTTTGTTGCTTCTATTTATATCTTATTATACTGCCTGATTTCAAAAATTGTAGTAGTTACTATTTTCTGTTGGCTCATATTTTAATCTTTCTATTTAATATAAGAGAAGTTTATATACCACAGTTACAGTTTTATAATATTCTGTGGGGTTTTTTTCTGTGTATTTACTGTTACTAGTGAGTTTGTACTTTCAGTTTATTTCTTATTGCTCATTAATGTCCTTTTCTTTCTGATTGAACTACTCTCTTTAGCACTTCTTGTAGAACAGATCTAGTGTTTAAGGCCTTTGGCTTTTGTTTCTTTGAGAAAGTCTGTATTTCTCCCTCATGTTTGAAGGATATTTTCACCAGGTATACTATTCCAGGATAAAAGTTTTTTTTTTTTCTTTAGCAGTTTACATATGTCATGCCACTGTCTCCTGGCCCATAAGGTTTCCACTTAGCTTACTGTCTGACTTAGAGCTCCATTGTATGTTATTTGTTTCTCTTCTCTTGCTGCTTTTAGGATACTTTTTTTATCCTTAACCTTTGGGAGTTTAACTATTAAATGTTTTGAAGTAGTCCTCTTTGGGTTAAATCTGCTTGGTGTTCTATTAGCTTCTTGTACTTGGATTTTGATAGCATTCTCTAGGTTTGTGAAATTCTTTGCTATTATCTCTTTGGATAAACTTTCTAACCTTATCTCATTCTCTACATTTTTTTAAGGCCAATAACTCTTAGCTTTGCTTTTTTGAGGCTACTCTGTAAATCTTCTAGGTGTGCTTCATTTTTTTTTCTATTATGTCCTCTGAGTGTGTATTTTCAAATAGTTTGTCTTTTTTGTCTATTTTTATTATTATATTTTAAGTTCTAGGGTACATGTGCACAACATGCAGGTTAGTTACATATGTATACATGTGCCATGTTAATGTGCTGCACCCATTAACTCATCATTTACATTAGGTATTTCTCCTAATGCTATCCCTCCCCCCTCCCCCCACCCCACAACAGGTCCCAGTGTGTGATGTTCCCCACCCTGTGTTGCCAAGTGTTCTCATTGTTCACTTCCCACCTATGAGTGAGAACATGCGGTGTTTGGTTTTCTGTCCTTGCAATAGTTTGCTCAGAATGATGGTTTCTAGCTTCATCCATGTCGCTACAAAGGACATGATTCCATTCAGGACATAGGCATGGGCAAGGACTTCATGACTAAAACACCAAAAACAATGGCAACAAAAGCCAAAATAGACAAATGGGATCTAATTAAACTAAAGAGCTTCTGCACAATAAAAGAAGCTACCATCAGAGTGAACAGGCAACCTACAGAATGGGAGAAAATTTTTGCAATCTACCCATCTGACAAAGGGCTAATATCCAGAATCTACAAAGAACTTAAACAAATTTACAAGAAAAAATCAAACAACCCCATCAAAAAGTGGACGAAGGATATGAACAGACACTTCTCAAAAGAAGACATTTATGCAGCCAACAGACATATGAAAAAATGCTCATCATCACTGGCCATCAGAGAAATGCAAATCAAAACCACAATGAGATACCATCTCACACCAGTTAGAATGGCGATCATTAAAAAGTCAGGAAACAACAGGTGCTGGAGAGGATGTGGAGAAATAGGAACACTTTTATATGGTTGGTGGGACTGTAAACTAGTTCAACCATTGTGGAAGACAGTGTGGCGATTCCTCAAGGATCTAGAACTAGAAATAGCATTTGACCCAGCCATCCCATTACTGGGTATATACCCAAAGGATTATAAATCATGCTGCTATCAAGACACGTGCACACGTATGTTTATTGCGCCACTATTCACAATAGCAAAGACTTGGAACCAACCCAAATGTCCATCAATGATAGACTGGACTAAGAAAAATGTGACATATTTACACTATGGAGTACTATACAAATAGTTTATCTTAAAGGTCACTAATTCTTTCTTCTGCTTGATCAACTGTATTTTTCAAATCCAGAATTTCTGCTTTATTCTTTTTAATTATTTCAATCTCTTTGTTCAGTTCATGTGATAGAATTTTGAATTCCTTCTCTGAGTTATCTTGAATTTCTTTGTGTTTTCTCAAAACAGGTATTTTGAATTCTCTGTCTGAAAGGTACCATGTGTCTCTTTCTCCAAGAGTGGTCCCTGGTGCCCTATTTAGTTTGTTTGGTGAGGTCATGCTTTCCTGGATTATGTTGATGGTTGTAGATATTCTTTGGTGTCTGGACATTGAAGGGTTAGGTATTTATTGTAGTCTTCTCATTCTGGGCTTATTTGTAACGGTCTTTCTTGGGAAGGCTTTCCAGGAATTCTCAAGTACTTGGGTGTTGTGATCTAAGCACTGCCTGCATGAAGGGGCACCCCAAGCCCGGTAACACTGTGGTTCTTACAGACTCATAAGATGCCGCCTTCGTGGTCTTAGATAAGATCTGGAAGAGTTCTGTGGATTACCAGGCAGAGACACTTGTTCTCTTCCCTTGCTTTCTTCCAAACCAACAGAGTTCTCTCTATGTTGAGCTGCCTGGAGCTGTGGGTTGATACAAGTGCCCCTGTGGTTACCACCACTGGGATTGCACTGGGTCAGACCTGGAGCCAGCATAGCATTTTGTCTCACTCAAGGCCCAGTATAACCACTACCAGGTTATCGCCTATGTTCTCTGAAGGCCCTAGGGCTCTACAATCAGCAGGTAGCAATGCCAGAAAGTCTTGTGTTTTTCCTTTCAGGGTAGTGAGTTCCCTTAGGCCCAAATGGGTCTAGAGTAGCTGTCCAGGTGCTAGGGACTAGAATGAAAACCTTCTAAATCTACCTGATGTTCCATTGTACTGTGCCTGAGCCTAAGCCACGAGTCACGGTTTTTCCCGTTCTTCCCTCCTCTTTCCACAAGCAGAGGAGCCTCAGCCCACGGCCATCACCAACACAGGCCCATGGGGAGTACTGCCAGGCTTCCACCAATGTTCATTTAAAGCCCAAGTGCTCTTTAGTCAGCTTATGGTGAATGTTGCCTGACCTAGGACTCACCCTTCAGGGTGGTGGGCTCCCCTCTGGCCCATGGCAGACTCAGAAATGCCATCTAAAAGCCAAGGCCTGGAATCGGGGACCCCAAGAACCTGCCTCATGCTCTATCTCCCTGTGGCCTAGCTGGTACCTAAGATGCAAGACAAAGTCCTGTTTACTTTTTCCTCTGCTTTCTTCGAGTAGATGGAGTCTGTCATCATAGCTACCACAGCTGGGAAAGTGCTGTGTCTCACCTGAAGCCAACATGTCTCAGAGTCTCACCCAAAACCCATGGCATACTCCATGAGTATTGCATTGGTTATTCAGGGCCAAAGGGTTCTTTAGTCCACAGGTGATGGGATCTGCCATGACTGGGTACTTCCTTTCAAGTCAATGCGTTCCCTTCTGGCTGAGGGAGTTTCTCAAAATACTTTCTGGGAGCTAAGGCCTGAAATGGGGGTCTCACAACATTGTCTGGTACCCTATCCTACTGTGGCTGAGCTGGTATCCAAGATGCAAGTTAAAATCCTCTTTACTCTTCCCTTTCCTCTCCTCAAGCAGAAGCAAGGGGTCCCTTTTGGAGCCACAAGGGGTCTCTTTTGCAGCCTGGAGCTGGAGGAGGGTGGTGCAAGCACTGTATTAACCATTGTGTCTGGTGTCTCAGTAAGTTACATGTCCCCCCAGTCCACTGGCTCTGACACCAGCCCAGCACAAGGACTCACCTACGACTTAGAGTCCTTATGGCCTAGATTGCCTTTCAAGTTTATTTAGGTGCCCAGAGCACTCCATCCTGCAGTGGCAAGGCTTGCTGGAACTCAGATTTTGACTGCTCAGATGGGTGATTCCCATCTGGCTAGAGCCAGTCCATATGCTCCTTCCATGAGTGGCTGTCAGCTAAGTACAGCCTGGTTCTGCTTTTGCTATGACAGGACAGCACTGAATTAAGTGCAGCGTGTCACAATCACTGCATTCTTTCTCCCCAGATGCACAGATTCTTCTTGCCATGCAGCCACTGCTGGGGGATGAGGGAATGATTGTGTTGGCAGTTCAAGACTTTTTCCTGCCCTATTCAATGCCTCTTTCTGTAATATTCAGTTAAAACCAGGTAGTGTGAATGCTTACCTGATTTTTGGTTCTTAGAAGGTGCTTTTTTGGTGTAGTTAATAAATTTGGTATTCCTCTTGGGAAGACAATCAGTGTAGCTTTCTATTCCGCCATCTTGCTCCACCCTCTATGTCGAATTACTTTTTTTTTTTTTTTTTTTTTGAGACAAAATTTCACTCTTATTGCTCAGACTGGAGTACAGTGGCATAACCTTGGCTCACTGCAACCTCCGCCTCCCAGGTTCAAGTGATTCTCCTGCCTCAACCTCCCGAGTAGCTGGGATTACAGGTGCATGCCACCACGCCTGACTAATTTTTTTTTTTTTTTTTTGAGATGGAGTCTCGCTCTTGTCGCCCAGGCTGGAGTGCAGTGGCACGATCTTGGCTCACTGCAACCTCTGCCTCGCAGATTCAAGCGATTCTCCATCTAAGCCTCCTGAGTAGCTAGGTTTACAGGCACATGCCACCACTCTCGGCTAGTTCTTTTGTAATTTTAGTAGAGACGGGGTTTCACTGTGTTAGCCAGGCTGGTCTCGAACTCCTGACCTCAGGCGATCCGCCTGCCTCAGCCTCCCAAAGTGCTAGGATTACAGGCATGAGCCACCGTGCCTGGTCTACTTTTAATTCTTCAAATGCACTGTATTCTTATCTCCACCCACCCTGCCTCAACTGTACTGTCCCTATTCCTCCTCTCTTACACAAATAATACTTCCATTACATGAAGGCTTTGTTCTCCTTCCCTTTGAATAAGTCCTACGGATTTTAAAAATTTTGATTTAAATCTTAAGCCTTTTGTGAAGGGTTTCTTCCTTCATCACTCACTGCCTTTCCTTCCCCTCTTCCATATGTATAAGCAGGTATACTCACTTTTTGTTTCCATAGCACCTTGTACTTCCACCGTAGCCTTAATACATTGCAGCATTATTGTCCATTTAATTATCTTTTTCATTAGGCTTTAAGCTCCATGAGGTTAGGGACTATGTCTCTTTTTCATCATTGTTGCATTCCCAGGCTTGGCATAATGTATATTTTAATAAATATTTAGACCAGGCACAGTGACTCACACCTGTAATCTCGCACTTTGGAGGCTGAGGCAGGAGGCTTGCCTTAGCCCAAGAGTTTGAGACCAGTCTAGGTAACATACTAGATCCTGTCACTGCAAAAAGTTAAACAAAATTTTAGCCAGGTGTGTTGGTACATGCCTGTAGTCCTAGCTACTTGGGAGACTGAGGTGGGGAGGTGCTTGAGCTTAGGAGTTTGAGGCTGCAGTGAGCTAGAATCACACTACTGTACTTCAGCCTGGGCAACAGAGCAGAGAAAAATATATAAGAAAATTTATATCTAGAATAACACTCATGAAATTTACTAGTAATCTCAGATGTGTCCAAAATAATACTCTCAGTCTAGGTAGATATGAATATTGTTTTTAGGTTGTTTATTAGCTCATTTGTTGAAGTTCATAGCCCTACCCAATATTAAAGTTGATGATAATTTTATAGGCTTGGCCAGATGTGGTGGTTCATGCGTGTAATCCTAGCACTTTGGGAGGCTGAGGTGGGTGGATTGCTTGAGTCCAGGAGTTCAAGACCAGCCTGGGCAACATGGCAAAACTTTGTCTCTACTGAAAATACGAAAAATCAGCCTGGCATGGTGGTGTGCACCTGTAGTTTCAGCTACTTGGGAGGCTGAGGTGGGAGAATCACCTGACTCCGTGAGGTTGAGGCTGCAGTGAGCCGAGATCATGTCAGTGCACTTCAGCCTGGGAAATGGGAGTGAGACCCTGTCTGAAAAAAAAAAAAAAAAAAAAGTATAGGCAGAATGTAACCTCCTGTAACAGCAAAATCTACTTTTAAGTAAGGTATTTGAGGTTTATCCAGAGTTCAAAGTTGACATCTTGACATTGTTTCACATTTATATTTGAACTTAAATACTTTTTGGCAGTTGCCATTTTTCAGTTAGATGGTATTTTTCAAACAAATAATTTTATTTTTTCTGACTTTCCTTCTTTGGAGCCTAGTAATTTTGGGAGTATATATTTAGAACATCGTGTATAGTTTTTTAAGAAAGAAAATGGCATTGATCTATTTCTTTTGAAAATAATACTCTGTTGGTGGTTTGGAAAGGTTTATGTAGAGGTAAATGGGTTTATGTCTGTTGATGGGCTCCTGCAGATAAAGCCACAGACATCTTCAGCCATGCTGCTTTTGTGTTGATGTTCTGTTTTTCCCTTGGGACAATAGGTGCTGTTCCTTGTAAAAATATGATAGGAAAGGAAATTTGTTCTGTTTTGCTGCTATTTAAAGCACCACAGACCTGCTCAGTAGACTTTGACACTCTATTCATCTCATCCTCCGTTGAATTATTGTTGTTGTTTTATTAGGGAAAAGTTTTCCTTGGAGATAATTCCTACAAAGTAATTATAATTTACAAAGTTTTCTTGGTTTTCCATGTGAAATGAAATTATTTCTGGAGATTTGGGCCTATGAATATCTGGTTTCAGAGTCTTAATCATTAATTGTTTTGCCTCCTATTTAGATGATTAAAGTTAAAGCTAATTTATTTTCTCTGTTTTCATTACTAACGTAAAATTTTTAGGTGGCCAGTAGAAAGAATTCCTAACAGCCAAAATCTCTGGTCTTTTAGAATGTCATTTTAAACCACTTTTCTCTCATCTTCTTATACATATTTGCTCCGACTCTACCTTTCACTGTGGGTTTCATTTACCCTGGAACCTAGGTTACTAGGGGCTGCAGGAAGTACCTGGTGCAGGGAATACTAGTACCCATTCTTTCATAGCCAGGAAAAAGGGGAGAGGGTGTTGGAATATACACAAACAAGTCAAAGTTGGGGAGACTTGAGTGCATCAAGTCGATAAGTCTTTGCCAAGTCCTGCCTACTGAGGGATGCTCAGTTTCTACAGGGCAGGGAAGACACCTTTGGTAAGAAAATAATTTACCTTCTAGCATTGACCCCCTTATCAATCCCTTATCCTCCTTTAGAAGAATTGAATTGCCTGTGGTTAGCTTCTAACTTCCCCAAAGCATGTAGTACTCTGCAGCCTGGGTTGTAAGGCTTATAATGAGTGTTTGCCCTAGTCTGGGGATTCTTTTTACCATAAGTGGTGTGTCTGATGGAAACTGCCTCCCTCTGGAAGATATATATCATGAACTCTCATTGTTTCAGTGTAACTTCTAGTCTCACAAATTCATGGAGTGAAAGTCAGAGAGTGAAATTTAGCTTAGTTTCTATGGGGATGTGAGTAATCTTTAGGGATTATTAAAACAATATACTTTTTTTCCCCCCAAGTTTTCCCTTGCTCCTCTTTTTCTAGCTCTTCCCCCATTCACCTATGGAATCATCTGCATTCATTATTTCAGGAGAGAGGTAGATACAGTCTAAAATGTAGGAGTAATTGCTCAGCTCTGAGACTTACATTTTATAAAAATAAATTCTTATCTTAATGTAAAATACTTCTTCAGGAACAAAATTCAAAAGATCCAAAAGGATCTAATTGTACATAAATCTCCTCCTTCTTTCTCCCCAACCCACCAGCATTCTTTCTCTTTGTCATTCAGTTCTGTATACACAAACAGTACATAGTTTACACTCTTGTACACCTTGCTTTTTTCAAGTAATACCTTTGCTATAGTTCTAGATTGGTACATATTAAACTACCTCATTCTTTTTAATTAGTTATAGTAATCATATCTTACTGGTAGATATTACTTCAGTTCCTCATCTTATGCTTTCACAAATGATGCTGCGGTGAAAATCCCTAGCCACACATCATTTTGCACACATATGAGTTTATCGATAGGATAAATTCCCAGGAGTAGAATTACTAGGTCAAAGACTTATTTTATTTTTTAGAGATGAGATCTTGCTGTGTTACCCAGGTTGCTCTCGAACCCTGGACACAAGCATTTCTCCTGCCTCAGCCTGCCAGTGTGCTGGGATTACAGATGTAAGCCACCACATCCAGCCAAGACTAATATTTTTAACTTTGAGTTTAAATTTTTTTTTCTATGTCAAACTGTAGACATGAAAGTTTAGGGTTTTTTCCTGAAACAAATGAAGATTTTCTAAATTCTAGAAATTTCACAATATGTATTAACAAAATTTGAAAATCTGTACATAATTCCACTATACTCTATGGTGTAGAAAGGACTGAAGATGATACATGGACAATTTTTGCCACATTAGAAGGAAAATCCTTTCCAGTGTTGAGAAGAAGAGCCGTAGGTCAGTGTCTTTATTCCCCTGTATACCTTTTCAGGAGCTGAACTTCAAAAGTAGGAAACAGGGAGGTATTGACAGTGATAGTGATAGTAATAGTGAAAACAGTCAGTTAGGTTCTGGAGAGAATCTGAGAACAGCAAGATTGTCTGAGAAAGACGACCCTCTAAGGGATAGAGAACTTCTAAGAGCACTGGTAGACTGGCCAAAGCCTATAAACAGAGCATGGAGGCTGCAGAATACTTGGACCTTAAAACCAGAAGATACAGCAAAATTTGAGGGCATCAGTAGTGGTTGCCAAGAAGACCAGCCAAATCTCAGTGAACACAACAAGCACAGGATATTTAGTGACCAGGTCAAGTGATAAATATCTCAATTGAAGGCAACCAATTGCCTGACCTACAGCAAGTGAACTAGCACGCGTGTCCTCTCCACCATGACCATGAAACAACTCAGCTTCCTCCTTGTACCTAGTTGCCATCCCAGGAATGAAGAGAGAGTAGAGAGATTCCTTAAAGAAGTTGGACTTTTTATGGAAAGATTGTTTGCCTGAAAGAGACTGCTTTAAACTAGGAGACCAAGTTATGTTTAGTTGGTAAATTTGTGACAACTGCCCATCCTACCCACACCCATCACTATTAGAGAAAATCGATGCTGCAGAGAAAAATGATATAAAATGTAGAAATGAAATTATATATTTCTTGAATGTCTCAGTCATTGTGTATAAATTTTATCACCCTTCTCCAGCATACACACACATGTGCACACACTACTGGGGAGTATCTCTCTAGGTTCTTCTACCACATGTAAGGCATACCCAAGGGTAAATCATATGGCAACATACACAAGTTTCTATATTTTTTCTATTAGCTTTAATATTAATAGAATTTTGTGTGAGTATATAGCAACTTCTGGTTGCCTGTAGCTATCTTTACTGAAATATTCCATCATATCTTCACCATATCACATTAACTTAAATAGGATCTCTTTTCCTTTTATCAAGTATAGTAATAGCTAACATTAGTGAGTGTTTATTATGTATCCAGCACTGTGCCCATATGTAATACTTTGCAAGGATCAATGTGCTGTATATGAGGAAACTGCAAGTTAAGGAACTTCCATGTATACTTTGAAGTTCATTCTCTTAAATAAGGAAGCTATATTGCCTTCCACTGCCTTGCATTTTTGTTTTCAGCCCTGTCCTTCAAAACCTTACTGTGTTTGTGTAAATTCTGTCTTCCCATGTTCCTTCTCCCCCACTCCCTTGTCCCATTTGGTTTTCTGGTCCTTCTCTGTTGCATGAATTCTATTTCCCTCCTTTTATTGCCTGAGGTCTTTCTGGCACACTGATTCTCTGAGCCTGTTCTTATGCTCCTCTTTCCCTCCCACTCTTTGCCCTTTTGTCATTGGCAGCTTCTTACAGATTCCCTTGCTGTTTTTATTTTCTCTCTCTCAGTCCAACAAAGACTGCTTATAAAGAGCAGTGACCTTGTCATTTGAACAAAAGATTCCAAGAACCCTGTGTAGGTTGGTTATTGATTTGCTTAACTGAAGAAACTGATTAGCTACTTCATCTGTTGTTGAGTATCTCTATTAATGTCAGGGAGTTACATGTTACAGTATTAGTAGCTCTGACAGTGACTGTCTTCAAATTAATTTTACTGACTGATTTTATCTCAGAGTTCTTATCTATAGAGTGATCACTATAATACCTCCCAAAAGGAAAGATAAAATCCCTGAAAGTGCATTACCTTAGAGGCTTATTTTAAAACAAGTTTTATTTTTTTATTTCACATTTTTAAAGTTCCAAATTATGCTTGGAAAAGATAATATCATTTAGGCCTTTAAGTTTTTTTTAGCTTTGAATTCACTGATATGTATTTTTCATTTAGATTTGAAATATGATAATTGAGAAGAGTATATTCAACAAAAGAAGAGTGAAGTAATATATGAATGTATATGTAAACCTAACTACATATATTTATAGAAATATGCATATGCTTCCATAAATATTAACCATACGTGATTATGTTTGTAATATTCACATATTGCTTAGGAATGCTAATTAATTAAAAGGTCTTGTTGAATTCAAATTGGTTTTACAAGCTTCATTTTAATGATTTGTTATTATTACTGTGCGACTTTGAAAAACCAGGTCTATTGAACTTATGGATATGGGAAATACATATATTTAAACTGAAACAAAACGTTATTTTATTTTTATTTTTTATTTTTTATTTTTTTGAGAGAGTTTTGCTTTGTTGCCCAGGCTGGAGTGCAGTGGTATGCGATCTCGGCTCACTGAAACCTCTGCCTCCTGGGTTCAGATAATTCTCCTGCCTCAGCTTCCTGAGTAGGTGGGATTACAGGCGCATGCCACCACGCCCGGCTAAATTTTTTTTTTTTTTTTTTGTATTTTTAGTAAAGATGGGGTTTCACCCTATTGGCCAGGCTGGTCTTGAACTCGCGACCTCAAGTGACCTACCAACCTCGGCCTCCCAAAGTGCTAGGATTACAGGTGTGAGCCACCGCGCCTGGCCTGAAACAAAATTTTAATTGTGACTTTTTAGCATTACTTTCTCCTCAAAAAGCCAAGAATTGACTCTTTGATATGTTATCTAGTGAAATAAATTTGATATTATTTTCTTTGATTTCTGTAGAGAATTTTTGTTTATAGTTTAAATTCCTTTTGGATAACATTAGGAATTATTTTAATAAGTAGAGTAGGTTTTCTAATTATTAGTAAGTTGTAATTATTTACCCCCTCATTTTTTTTCAATCTTACAAAAGGCCAAAATATCACAATGAACATATCCAGTAGAACTGGGGGGAAAATTAAAAATGAGTTTCTTTATGCAAAATTGCTACCACATATAATGCATTATGATATGGGGAGTGGCTTACAGTTCATATATTCTTATAGTTTATATATTCTTGATTAAATCTTTTACAGAACTTAGAAATTTAAGTTAAAAACACTTAAATTAAAAAAATTTAAGTTATTTTATGTGGATTAATTTTAAAATTAATAGCATAGTAGAAAGATGATTGTAATCTTCAAAGATTTTCAAATTAGTGTATACCGTTCATATGACTTAGAACATTTAGGAAAACTACAGGTATATTTTGGCATAGAAAATAACAAAATGTGGATTATTGTTTTTACTTTTTTGTTGGATTTCAATTTGATGTTTACAAGTATTGAGGTTATTTTATATAGTATTGGAAAGCTTGGATACCTAGAAACATGGATTCTTAGTGGTGGGTTTTGGCATCAAACACACATTGGCCTGAGTCAGAGCTTCATCCATTTCAAGCAATGTTACCTTGGGCTACCATTCCGAGCCTCAGTTTCCTTGGTTATGAAATGGGAGTGATGGCAATTATCTCAACGAATTATTGTGAAGATGAAATGATAAGATGTTTAGCGCAGTGCCTGGCACTTATTGAGGGTTGGTAAATGGTAGTTGTTGCTAATTGTAGCAATGACAACAGTTCTAGTGTTGTATAGTGTGAGAAAATAAAATCAAATCTGAAACATATATCACATCACTTTCATAGCTTTCTCTCTCTGTTTTCAATTTCTGTTCCTGGGACTCTCTTTTAAGTTCATATATTATAATGTTATTAATTTTAGACCCTAATAACTTCTAAACTGTTTAGAGTCATAGTTATGTAATCATAAACTTTTAGAGCTGAAGGGAATTTGGGGATCATTTAGTCCAAACCTCTTATTTTACAAGAAAGAAAATTATGTTTGGAGTAGTGAAGTGATTTACCCAGTATAAATTACTTGTGGCAGGCTTCTTCTTTTTTTTTTTTTTTTGAGATGGAGTTTTGCTCTTGTAGCCCAGGCTAGACTGCAATGATGCGATCTCAACTCACTGCAACCTCCGCCTCCCGGGTTCAAGCGATTCTCCTGCCTCAGCTTTCAGAGTAGCTGAGATTACAGGCGCACACCACTACGCCCAGCTAATTTTTGTATTTTTAGTAGAGACAGGGTTTTACCACATTGGCCAGGGTGGTCTCAAACTTCTGACCTCAGGTAATCCACCCTTCTCGGCCTCCCAAAGTGCTGGCATTACAGGTGTGAGCCACTGAGCTCAGCCGGTGGGTTTCTTATAAGTGGAACGCTGTTCATTGTACCACATACTGGCCCCCTCAATGTATCATTCATTTAAAGTGTGAGGCTCTGTTAGTTTGATTTGTTCACTTGAGACCCTGTTATGCACTGGGTACTGTGCATGAAATGAGAACTATAAAGTTCCTACCCTGCAGATATTCATAGTGAAAGGAACTGATTGACAATCACAGTAGTGTGATAAGTATTATAGAAGTAGGGTATAGTAAATACAGTTAAACGAAAACAAAGGGATAGGAACCGTAGTTTATTAAGTGTCTATATGACAAGTAACTCCCATACACTCATTTAATGCCATAACCTTCTGATATAGATATTATTATCCATAATTTCTTATTTCATAGCAAAGCTCAGCTCCTGATTGAGAAGGAAGGAAGGAGGCATGGTATCCCTGAGTTCCAGTAAAAAACTCAGTGCTCATGAGGACATGGGCCTTCTATAAAAGATTTGGTAGATATTGGTTGATAATTAAATGGGAGTGATGAATCATTGAGACTGTCTTTTTACCTGCCGCTGACATTAAAGACCAAGTTGCTTTTTTTGTCATTTGTTTTTTACAAATTCATTGCCTTAATTGAGTAGAAGAAACTAAACATTTTCTAATTTCTTAAGAGAATAACCTTAGTGATCTAAACTGAGGAATAAGCATTTCCTGTTGTAAATGTACTTCTCTCAGTTCTCTTAGTATTTCTGGAGTCAAAAATCTAGGGCAAGGCCAAAAGCTTGGGAAAGACACAGAATCTTCCATGCCCTCTGAGACCCTACATTTTCTAAACTTAACTTGATTTTCTCACTTTGTTTACTCTTTTTTTTTTTTTTTGAGATGGAGTCTCACTCTATCGCCCAGGCTAGAGTGCACTGGGGCCATCACGGCTCACTGCAACCTCTGCCTCCCGGGTTCAAGCGATTCTGCTGCCTCAGTCTCCTGAGTAGCTGGGACTACAGGCGACCTCCTTAAGCAGAGAGGGGGTTTCACCATGTTGGCCAGGCTGGTCTTGCACTCCTGACCTAAAGTGATCCATGTGCCTCGGCCTCCCAAAGTGCTGGGATTACAGGCATGAGCCACCGTGCCTGGCCTCACTTTGTTTACTTTTATTACTTGCTTTTCTCCTGCTATGCCTTCGTAAAATCTCTTAGTTGCATCACTGATGGGCATTTAAGGCATTGTGAGAAGATTTAGTTGTTCAGTGACAGTAGTAAGTTGTCATTTTTATTGCTGGCTTAAAAAATAATTTTTGGAAGAGCTGCCATGTACTAACAGTCCATTGCATAACACTTTACTTTTTGTTTTTTTAAAGAGATAGTATCTTTTTATTAACATTTTTTTAAAAATCCATAACTTAGTAGGTGTTAGTGTTTCTAAAACACTTGATTGCTCTTGGTTCCAAATAGGTTTTCAGTGGGGAAAAAAATACCCATTTAGAGAATATTTGATATGGCATATATGCTCTCTTTCTAGGGGAAAATATCCTTCTGGGATTCTTAGGATACCTGTTTTTTTTTTTGACTTTCAGTTTTATAAATAGAGCTGACCTAGGTTTACGGGTTTCTTTCATTTCTAAAATTCTGCTGTTTTACTAGAACTACTATTATCTTTGGAAACTCTTAATTAAAAGAAAGAAAAATATATAATATTAGGCAGAAACCATGAAAATTATAAATAGAAAATTATATTAATTATAATATGCATCAGAATTTGGTGCTCTTTATAGTTACTGAAATGTATATAAAAATAAATTTGCTAACATAGTGAACTTTTTATAAGCAACAAGTATGCAAAAAGTTCATTAATTATTATAAGCAGCTAGAATGCCAGGCAGAATATTAGCAACCAAATTTATATTACATAGGCAATAATTGACAGATTCGTCTCTGGAGAAACTGACTATTCCAAAGGAAAAGAATCCCAAAGAGCTGGCCAGGTCACTACTCCACTGACAATGAGGCACACCCTTGAACAAACCCCACTGAAGTCCACAGAGCTTCTGATCACATTTTTAGTTCTTTTAGTTCTTTAGTATTTAATATATAAAATAGTCTAGAATTACTAGATTTTCAAGGAATACCTTTATTGTGAATGAAAACCAAATAACACAAAACAGAAAAAAAGGAAACTCAGGAAACAACTCAAGAGAAACAGAGATAATGCAGAAGAAAGTACACGGTATATATATATATATATATATGTACATATATGTGTGTATATATATGTACATATATATGTGTGTATATATATGTACATATATATGTGTGTGTGTATATATACATATATGTGTGTGTATATATACATATATGTGCATATATATACACACACACACATATATATATTTATATTCCAGAATATTCCAGAAATTCTTTCAGAGAATATGAGATGAATTAGTGAAACTTTTCAAATGCAAAAATGACACAGTTACTAACTCTAGGAAAAACCAAGCTTGAACAAGAATACATAATTATAGAACATTATATGGCCTAACTGTGAATAACAGATATGTGGTTATAAGACAATAAATAGTGATTAACCTAAATTGGAGATATAATGATATTAGGGTAATAGATGTAGTAGAAGAGAGTGTGTGTATGTGTGTTCATTCATGTGCTTGTGCATACATACATATGTGAGTGCAGACATGACCATGGGCATATGTGTTGGTGGGTGGGTAAGTGCTGTATTCTCATCTTCCATGTTGCGAAGTCAGTAGATAAGGGGTTTGCAAACTATGACCTGGAGTCCAAATCCAGCTGCCCACTGTTACTTCAAAATAAAGTTTCATTGGAACACAGCTACTCCTGTTTATTTACATATTGTCTACAGCTGCTCTGGTGCCACTATGGCAGAGATGAATTGTCAAGAAAGAATCCATATGGCCCACAAAGCCTAAGATATTTACTATCTGGCTACACAATAATTAAAACAAATTTTAAAAATCAGGAAATAGCAGTTCATCATTTAGAAATATACATGTAAGGCCCAGCATGATGGCTCATGCCTGTAATCCCAGCACTTTGGGAGGTCAAGGTGGGTGGACCATGAGGTGAGGAGATCAAGACCATCTTGGCTAACACAGTGAAACCCCATCTCTACTAAAAATACAAAAAATTAGCCAGATGTGGTGATGGGCTCCTGTAGTCCCAGCTACTGGGGAGGCTGAGGCAGGAGAATTGCCTGAACTCGGGAGGCGGAGGTTGCTCTGAGCCGAGATTGCACCACTGCACTCCAGCCTGGGCAACAGAGCGAGACTCCGTCAAAAAAAAAAAAAAAAAGAAATGTAAATACAAAAAAAATCAGTTGTGTTCTATGCAGTAATAAGGAACTATCTAAACAAGAAATGAAGAAAACAATTCCATTTACAATAGCTACAAAAAAATTACTCAGGAATAAATTTTACCAAGGAGATGAAAGACCTCTACACTGAAAACTATAAAGTATTGATGAAATAAATTGAAGAGGACACAAACAAATGGGAATATATCCTGTGTTCATAGATTAGAAGAATTAATATTGTTAAAATGTCCATACTACCTAAAACAATCTACAGATTCAATAGACTCTTTTTTTTTTCTTTTCTTTTTTTTTTTGTGACAAGGTCTGGCTCTGTTACTTAGGCTGGAGTGCAGTGGTGTAATCTCGGCTCACCACAAACGCCGCCTTCAGAGCTCAAGCCATCCTCTCAACTTAGCCTCCTGAGTAGCTGGGACTACAGGTATCAGCCACCATGCCTGGCTAATTTTTGTGTTTTTTGTAGAGTTAGGGTTTCGCCATGTTGCCCAGGCTTGTCTCCAACTCTTGAGCTCAAGTGATGTGCCCACCTTGGCCTCCCAAAGTGCTAGGATTACAGGCATGAGCCAGCACGCCTGGCCAGACTCAACACCCTTTATCAAAATTCCAATAACTTTTTTCACAGAAATAGAAAAAATAACCCTAAAACTTGTTTTAGGATTGTTTAAATCTTATTTGTTTAAATCCTGTTTAGACCCTGAATAGCCAAAGCAAACTTGAGGGAAAAAAAAAAAACCAAACAAATAAAAACAAAGCTGGAAGCATAACACAACCTGACTTCAAAATACAATACACAGGTATAATAACCAAAACGGCATGGTACTGGCACAAAAACAGAACCATAGACCAATAAAACAGAAGAGAGGGCCCAGAAGTAAATACATTTATAGTCAATTGATTTTTGACAACTATGCCAAGAACACACAAGATGGAAAAGACAGTCTCTTCAATAAATGGTCCTAGGAAAACTGGATATCCATGTGCAGAATAATGAAATTAGAGCCTCATTTCATACCATATACAAAAATTCAAGTCAAAATGAAGACTTAAATGTAAAACCTGAAACTGTAAAACTACTAGAAGACAGTGTAGGGGAAAAGCTCCATGACATTGGTCTGGGCAATGATGTTTTAGATATAATTCCAAAAGCACAAGCAACAGAAGCAAAGGTAGACAAATAGAATTGAATCAAATGAAAAAGCTTCTGCACAGCAAAAGAAACAACAGGGTGAGGAGTCATCCTACAGAATGGGTGCAAATATTTGCCAACCATACATCTGATAAGGGGTTAATATCCAAAATATATAAGGAATCAATTCAATTGTAAGAAAACAACCTGATTTAAAAATGGGCAAAATACCTGAATAGACACTTCTCAAAAGAAGACATAAAAATGGCCAGCAGGTATATAAAAAAATGTTCAGTGCTATAAGAGGAATTTGCATATCTTTACAGATTTGGCAGTGATCAAAGCAAAAGTCTGGGAAAGCTCTACAAGCAGAATTCTCCTTTGACTCCTTGAGGAGCCTTACCTTTCAGATTGAGAAAAGCTATAATATGATTTAAAATCCATCTGGCATTTGCTGTTAGATTGTGATTTTTGGTAACAGCAGACAGTGTCAGGTTTTATTTTATTTTCCTAGAATCAGGGTAGTCAAGAATATTTCGTTTACTCTAGCCAGTTCTTTTTCACATTTTGGCCCAAACTTTATTCCCAAAACATTATATCGGTACATATTTTAAAATCTAGCAAACACATGGGCATTTGTGAAGACCTTTTTTTTTTTTGTACAAAATGTGTTCTGAATTTTTGCTTGTACTGAAAAATACTTGAAATAAACACAGGAAGTTGTATACTAAAAAATGCTGAACATCACTAATCATCAGGAAAATGCAAATCAAAACCAAAATGTCACTTCACACCTGTTAGAATGACTGTTAGCAAAAAGACAAAAGATAAGTGTCAATGAGGATGTGGAGAAAAGGGAACCCTTGCACGCTGTTGGTGGGAATATAAATTGGTACAACCATTATGGAAAACAGCATGGATGTTCCTAAAAAAATTAAAAATAGAACCACCATAGGATCCAGTAATCCCAATAATGGGTATATATCCAAAGGAAATGTAATCAGTATGTCAAAGAGATATTTTCATTCCCATGTTCATTGCAGTATTAATCACAATAGCCAGGATATGTCATCAACCTGAGTCCATCAGTGGATGAATGGAAAAAGAAAATGTGAATACATAATGGAATACCATCCAGCCTTTAAAAAGTTAGAAATTCTGTCATATACATAAACATGAATGAACCTGGAAGATGTTATATTCTGTGAAATAAACTAGGCACAGAAAGTCAAATACCACATGATCTCTTACGTGCAATCTAAAAAAGTTGAACTCATAGAAACAAAGTAAAATGCTAACTACCAGAGGCTGGAGGCTGGAGGATTGGGAAGATGTTGGTCAAGGGACACAAAAATTTCACTTTTATAGGAGGAATAAGTTCAAGAGATCTATTGTATATCATGGTAATTATACTTAATGATAATATATTGTATACTTGAACATTGCTAAGTGTATATTTGATATTTACATATTGTCTATAGCCACTCTGGTGCTACCATGGCAGAGATAAATAGTCAGAAAGAGGTTATACGGCCCACAAAGCCTAAGATATTTACTGTCTGGCCCTTTACAGAAAACAACCTTGTGATACACAATAATTAAAACAAATTTAAAAAATCAGGAAATGGCAGTACGTCATTTAGAAATATATATGTAAATACAAAAATCAGTTGTGTTTCTGTGCAGTAACAAGGAACTGTTTGACAAGAAATGAAGAAAACGATTCCATTTACAATAGCTACAAAAAATAGGAATAAATTTAAGCAAGGAAGTGAAAGATCTCTATACAACAAAAAAATGATAAGTATATTAGGTAATGCGTGTGTTAAATAGCTTGATTTATCCACCTTACAGTGTATGCATATATCAAAACATCATGTTGTCTACGCATTGGGTAAAGTGTACACTGCTTGGGTTATGGGTGCACCAAAATCTCTGAAATCACTGCTAAAGAACTTAATTCATATAACCAAAAACCACCTGTTCCCCAAAAACTATTGAAATAATAGTAATAAAAAAAACTCACACCTGTAATCCTAGCACTTTGAAAGGCCAATGTGGTTGGATTGCTTGAGCTCAGAAGTTCGAGTCCACCCTGGGCAACATGGCGAAACCTCATCTCTACAAAAAAAATACAAAAATTAGCTGGATGTGGAGGCGCGTGCCTGTGGTCCCAGCTACTTGGGGGGCTGAGGCGGGAGGATCCCTTGAGCCTGGGAGGCGGAAACTTACCTTATACACCATAATTTTAATTTTTACTTGTCAATTTAAAAAGAATTTAAGGAACAATGTTTGAAAATATGAGAAGAAATAGCTTAATAAATTGACAATGTTCACCTAAAATGAGTAAGAGTCTGAAGTGCAGAGGAATGGGACAGAATACTGCTGCTTTTCATTTAAGCCTAATAGTATAGTACTGTTTTAAAACCATATACATGTATTGCTTTAATACAATTTTTAAAAATTAAATTTAGAAAATTAAGAAAAGGTAGCTGTTAGAATTAGGCTTGTTGGTGTAGGGTTGCCATGTTACACTGATGCATAATTCACCAAATACTGTATTTAAAAATAAAGTATCAGAGATACCATGGAAAAATAAACATATGTTAAAAAAATACCAGTACCTTCAAACACCCTATTCCCTATAGTATCAATTTTTTATTATATGCTTTTTGATATAACTGTAATAGGTAATTGATGCAAATAACCTCCATCTCTTATTTTAGTATTATTAGTGGTTTCAAAACTTCATATAGCAACTTCTTTTTACCATAGCTGCTAATGAGAAGCAAAAAAGAAAAAAAATCAAACCAAAGAAAATTGATTTACTATCTTGTCACACTCTTTTGGTGATGGTAATAAACCAGAGGAGAAAAAAATTAAAGGAGTAGTGAATTGGCTCAAAGTGAATCAGACAAGTACTTCTGAGGGTCAATGAACCCTAAAACCTGATGGTAGATAATAAAATATTGCTGAATTTTGATTTACTATTAAGTATCTTTAATGTACTGTGTTTTATATTCACCAAACAGAGTTATCTTTTCATATAATGCAAGATTTTTAAATGTAAAAACCATGGTTTATTTCGTTTTGTATTCTCTACAGGGTAGTGTTTGGACTCAGTAGGTGCCCAGTAAAGGCATGCTTTAATATGAATGGATTTTCACTACTGAGTAGCTTGTTCTGGTTGATTTTCAAAAGAGTCTTAAATTTGTAAGTGAATAAAAAATTATATGAGTATTATGAGTGTTCAAACAAATGGAAGCATTTCTTTTCCCTGATTTCGCATAATGTGTATGATTTGTGCTAAGTGATAATAAAGACCCTTCCGTTTTTCACTCTTGGAAGAGAAACCCTTATCTTCTCTACAAACAATTTCAGGTTGTTGTTGCTGTAAAACAAGCCCTGAGACCTGTTATCGACTCATTGTTATTTTTTCTATTTTCCACCATCCTGTGAGAGAACATCTTTTTAATGTGGTTTTATACAGTCTTCAGTGTGTCTCAGATATGGGTTTAGTAAATCTGTTAAGTACTTTTGTTTGTCTTCTGTTTTTTCTCTGAACAATACAGTTATGCAATTTCCTTTGTTATTAAATGTCAGGATTATTTTCTTATTTATCAACCCTGTAGTTTTCAATCATTTCTGCCATGTTCTTTTTGGAAGACTGTTGATTGCTTTTTAGCTAAATGGTACCACAGCCAGAGAAAAAGTGGCTAAGATCTGATGACATTTGATGAATTGGTATGTCATTTGCAATTGTGTATTCTACCCAGTTCCCTATTTGAGAGAGGTGTTTTCTCCTGGAAGTGCTAGAGAAATTGTTATAGCATAATTCCTTAGAAAAATTATTCATAGTAATGTATCCGTGAGACACATCTAGACCAGGGATATCTCATGGAAATGATTGTCCTTTCTGAACAAGTGCCACATGTTTTTATTTGTAAACTTATTTTCTTCTCATCCTGGAAATAATGATATTAAAAACATTGTGTGACTAGTGATCTATGACTCTGATATACAAACAATGCCTATTTTATTGTTTCTGTATAATAAGCAAGTCCTGTTGTGTTCATTTAGCTAGAAATGAAAAAAAACCCAGCACACCTGCATTTTGCATTTAATTAATTTATGGTGGTGTAGTATTATACCGTCTTTTAAAAACTACTGGCAAATTTTAAATGTGCAGTGCACTATATAAATAGGAATGAGAAGAGTCTATTCATGGCAAGGTAATTAGAGCATCTTTGGCTAGAATATCTCTGAGTAAAAATAGCTAGTCTCAATGTTGGAGTAAGGTAATTAAGTCCTGAAGAATAATGATGAAAACCTTTTGCTCAGATACCCTTTCTTCATTTAAGTTCAATGCCGTACATTCAAATAAAATCTGTGTAATCAAACTAGCCCATTAAGTACTACTGAGTGAGATAAATTGTAATACCTATTCTATATCCTTGCAAAAGGGAAATGCATGTTATCTAGAAACATAACAGCTTATAAATTAAAAACATTCATTTTTCTTCTCTTTTGTCTTATATCAACTTTTTGTATATTTATATACATAATCACCTAACTCCTACCTCCTCTTCTTTCTTCCTTCTTCCTCAGGTAATGTACAATAATACATTATAGTAACCAAAATCGAGATTGCTGGATTTTTTTTATGTTCTTAGCTCTCTGACAAAGAGAGCTTGCTTGCCCTTTTTCCCCCCAAATCTTAAATATAGGCATCTTTCAATGAGTTGTCTCAGTCCCATTTTTTCCCCCTGTAATCCATGCCTTGGTAAACCTTTATTCCTACCACAACACTTTATGCAGTGATTCCCAAACATATATTCCTGGTCAAGTCTCTTGGACTCCAAAATTGTATTTCCAGCTGTTGCCTGGATTTCTATATTTGAAATGTAATGACATCTTAAACTAAATGACTTCAAAGTCAAGAATCATTCTCTAGTCCATCTAATCATCCCACCTCCTCTTCACACAGCCTTCACTACCTCAGTTCATGACACCATCAGTCACTTTTGAACAACTTGCCGCATTTTACACATCCAACTAAAGTCATGTCCGTTCTACTTATGTAACATCATCAAATTCATCTCCTTCATTCTGTTCTCATTGCCCTTGCTGAGGTTGAGGCCCACATGTCCTCTTGCCAGGAGTATAGCAGTTGCTCTTGATCTTCACGTGCTGCTTCACCAGTCCATTCTACCCACAGTTCATAGATGTGCTTTCTTAAGAACTGGACTGGTAATGCCATTACTCTAAAAACTTCCACTGGACCTTCGCTGCCTCTTAATCTAAGACCAGAATTTTTAGCTTCATTTGCAAGGCCTGTCCCAGTTTAGCTCTTTAGCCTCCTTTTGCATATATGCCATACTCTAGAAAAATGGAATGGATTTTTCCCCCTCAGATACGTTATGTTATTTTCCATCCATATGTCTTTTCATAATACGTAACCTTCATGAGGGCAATGATTTTCTTTTAATCTGTTTTGTTTACTGTTTTATCCGTAGCAAGTAAAACCTATATGTCACACGTAGCAGGTACTCAGTAAATATTTGCTGAATGAATAGGTAAGTAAATGGATAGAAGAAGAATTGGAAGATACATTTCATGAGACTCACCTATTCCTTTCTGACTTTGGGTTCTGAGCAAGAGTCCTGTATCTTCTCAGTAAGTTTTCTTTGTTTATGCTAACTTAAGTGAATTATATTACTTCTAATCTAATGATACTTTACTGAGACAGCATAAAAAAGTTAGAATGGCAACTTGGATAGAGGGACTTGGTTTAGAGACCTGTTTCATTTTGAAAAGGTTTCTCTCAGCTTTGCTTTGTCATTTACATAGTATAAATGAACAAAACCCCACTCAAAGGTCAGATATCCCACAACCCAAACATGTACTGAAGGAAGAAACATCCTGCTTTAAATGGAACAACAATACTATGTTTTTGGCTGCATGTAACAAAGAAATTTAATAAGAGAGTCATGTATTAATTACAGACATATTTATCCTAAGATACTAATTTATATACTAATTAGTTGATTTTCAAGGCAAACTAATTTGGTTGTTTTTCAGGCCACAATAAAACTATCCCCAATATTTTGTATCCACATTCATTTTCTTAATAAATGACCAAAACTTTAGGCAAGAAGCAAAAGCAGAATCATGATGAAAATGTGATGTCAAAACTTTGAAGTTTTAACTACTAGTTATGTTTCTTAAGGAATCAAGACCTGAGATGGGGGACTCCAGATTCATAACCTGATAAAGTATTTTCAGGTTTGAATAGATGTTTGAAACACCTTTAAAAGCCAACTACATAGCTTCAGTTATGTGGAAGAATGTGATAGATAAAGGACAGCTTAGATTTTAAAAACAAAGTCAAGAAATAAATGTGTCTATAAGGTACATAAGGCTACAGATTAAGAAGGATGAGACCTGTTTCTTTACCAACCAAACACTTATGCAGAGATATATGTTTTCAGTGAAACATAGGTGCTGATAAATATGCAATTTTCTTTGGTTATAAAAGATTCTAAGGCTCATAGGTATTGCTGAATGTTTATAATTAAGTAAGCTTACTCTAAGAAGCATGAATTTAGAACACAAGAAACTAAAATAAATTAAGCCATAATTTCTGCCTAAGAGAAATTAAAAGTTCATGCTTTTTTTCATGACTACTGGAGTAATTGTAGGTATACTGAGCATGCTTCTTTCATTTGATTTAATTTTGACTCTATCAATCTATGCCCTGGTTAAAACTAATTCTCTCCTAGTGGGCTTTTCTTTTCTTTCTTTTGTTTTTTTTTTTTTGAGATGGAGTTTCACTCTTGTTGCCCAGGCTGGAGCGCAATGGCGTGATCTTGGCTCACCACAACCTCCGCCTCCCAGGTTCAAGCAATTCTCCTGCCTCAGCCTCCCAAGTAGCTGGGATTACAGGCATGCACCACCACACCCAGCTGATTTTGTATTTTTAGTAGAGACGGGGTTTCTCCATGTTGAGGCTGGTCACGAACTCCTGACCTCAGGTGATCCACCCACCTCGGCCTCCCAAAGTGCTGGGATTACAAGCATAAGCCACTGTGCCCGGCTGTGTCCTTTTCAATAGCATGTAATTTTCTTACATATTGTGAAGTGTTTTAGATGATTTTTTCCAATCCTTTATTTATTTAATATTTTGCTTGATAAAGTATAATTGTACATATTCATGGGGGTACATAATGATAGTTTGATCCACATAATGTATAGTGATCAGGGTAATTAACATATCCATTGTCTCAAACTAGATGATTTTTAATGAATAATAAACTGATCTTATTTCTAACTAGTTAGGAAAAACAAAGAATTCTTCATTATATTTATGCACAACACAAGGGTACTTATGAGAAGATAACACTTACCATCTGGGACACAACATTTCTACCCTAGTATTCTATTCATGGTGATAGCTAATAACTGACACTATTCTCAGGGACAGTAGCAGTGGTAGTATTGCCACTATTATAGCCCCTACTCTAGTCACTGCCTTCCAGCAAACATGTTCTTGTTATATATTTTCCAATTAACACTTACATAATGTCTGAAATGTATGGTGGTAGGTGTTTTAGCCTGTTTTACTTCAAAATAGGAACGTAAGGAAGATAAACATATACATAAGAAGTGAGTGTTTAAGCCCATACTAAAATTTACATGTTATACTTTAGCACAACACCTTCTTCGAAGTAAAGGGGACAACTGAAATGTATCATCTTGCCATGTATAAAAAGGCATGTTTCAAAGCATAATGACCACACTGTAAGCCTTCACTCTTTCTCTAATCTTCTTTAAATTTGCACATGGGTAACAGGTCAGACATTCAGAATAGTGTAGCCAGGTAAATCAGAATTTTCATTATCTGGATTTGTATGCCTCACTGGGTGCACTGGGGGAGGCCTCTATGACAAGCATGTTAAATGTGTACTTTTCTGGAGCCCAAAATGCTGAAGACATTGCTTTAGCCTAGGTAATTCTTCTCAGAGAAGAATAATTATTTACACATGTACACATACAAAATTATATATGCTGTTCAATATATGTTTTAAATAAAGAGATATACATACAAATTTTCTAGCTCTTGCTTACATTTTTCATCTATAGTGCTGTAATGCAATGAAATTAAGCCTCTCTGGTAACTGCAGTTCTCCCTGAGAATAAGTTTCTGTTATAGTACCATTATGCTAGAGGGTCCCACATATGCCTGAAGGAAATACTTTATGACAGTTGTTAATATTATAGCCAAATGATGCTTTTATTCCAATTTAATCATTCATAAAAGGCACAAATAGCACCTAGTAAGTACTTTCGTTTATATTTTCCCGTGCTTTTAAAATGTTGATTCTATAGCATCACTCAATATTAATATAATTTTAAGTATTATTTACTTGTATTTGGTTTGAAATATAATGTCTGCCACTTAATGGATTATTTACTACCTGAAAAAATAAACTTTGAGGCCAGATGCAGTAGCTCACGCCTGTAATTTTAGCACTTTGGGAGAATAAAATTGCTGAGGCAGGAGGAACGCTTGAGGCTAGGAGATTGAGACCAGCTGGGGCAACATAGTGACACCCTGTCTCTACAAAAATTAAAATAAAAAAAAATAGCCAGGCTTGGTGATACATGCCTGTAGTCCAGTTACTCCAGAGGCTGAGGTAGAAAGATCACTTGAGCCCAAGAGGTTGAGGCTGCAGTGAGCCATGATCACACCACTGCACTACAGCCTAGGCAACAGAGCAAGACATTATACCCCCAAAAATAAATAAATAAAATTTGAGCCTAGTAGTTGTTGTCATTTGCCACTTTTCTAGACTAAATCATTATTATAAGCTATACCATATTACTGACATGTTTTGATTAATGTAACAAATGCTTTTCCAGCTTAACATTTTTCACAGCTTATTTTGATATGGAATTTCTCTTAATGTTATAGTAACATCTAAAAATAGTTTTATTTAGATAAATTTCTTTAAAATGTATAGTACAAATAACATCTTTGTTAGATCTGTAACTAAGAGGCAATAAATTTGAAGCACACTCCATATGAGAAATTGTAAAGCCAAACTAACAAAATCGTGATTACTTTGGGATGACACAGTGTCATGAAAGTCAAGAGGAGAGTATCATGAAGACTGAAAAGTGATAGCACTGAATGCTGCTGTTCTTTTAAAGATGAAGGTTCAGCTATCAGAGCAGGAACCTAAGGGCAAAATCTGAAATTAATAAATCAAGAAATAGCAATATAAGCATATGGCTATTTAGGAATAATTATTACTATTAGATAAGAAGTTGCTTCTGGAAAGAGGACTCATGACAACAATGGAATCATGGGCTGTTTTGTGATACTGGATTTTTAAATCATGAAGCATGTGTTATATTTTAAGCCAAAAAAAAAAAAAAAAAAAAAAACTGGGGAGGGATCTTCGTGTTGGTAGGATTCGTTTTCCACCTTTAAAAATTTAGGTAAGGAAAGTGGGATAGAAGCCAGACTTTAAGGAGACAAGAAATGGAAAGGAAGTAGAACAGCAGCCATAGACTAGTTCCTCAAGAAGCTTGACCTGAAAGAGTTATGTATCAGTTAAAGACCATGAGATAGAGGAGGGTAATCTGCTGTAAGTTATAACTTACACAGTTTGCTGATTTTTATCATGAATTAAAAATATGTACTTGTTTAAACGTTGCACTGCCATTTACCATTTGCTAAGTAGATGCATAAGAACATTGAGGCCAAAATTACAGTCCCAGGAGCCTCAGTTTCACTGTGGAGTTTTCCCTCAGCAAATGTTTGCTTTTGCTTGTCCTTTTTTCTTAGCTAACCTTGGTTTCTAGATCAAGATGATTTTCCTTCTTTGTTTTCACACAGCATATTCAATTGCACCACACTCTTTTTAATCACAATTCTTTCTGATGGGTTTTTGATTGGATCCAAATTTGCAGGCTGGGCCCTGAGAATCTAATTCAGTCTGTTGCAGTACTTCTCAATCATTTTAGTCTTAGAACTGCTTTATATGCTTAAAAATTATTGAGGGCCCTGATAATTTTTGTTTTTGTAGGTTTTGTCTTTTGACATTTTCCATATTAGAAGTCAAACCTAAGAAATTTTAAAAATGTTCTTTATTTAAAATAACATTATTCATCCCATTATATATTAATATAACATTTTTCTGAAAAAGTTACTATTTTCCAGTATCAAATAATTGAAGAAGAGTGTATATTTTTTCCAATTAAAAAAATTCTCTTAGCAATTTTCAATGCGTTGTTATTTACTATAGTCATGGTTTTGTACAACAGATCTCTTGAATTTACTCCAACTGAAATTTTGTATCCTATGAAGTAGTTACTATAATTACAGATAATCAGGAAAATTGACAAATATTAAGAACAACTCTCATTCATTCAAAATATCCACCACTTTTGGGAAGTAAAATTATCTGCTCTTGTAATAAAATTAGATAAAATCTTAAAATCAATTAGATAGTACTTGAGCTATTACAGCTTTGAAAATGTGTGTCCCTGTGTTTGTGCATGCACACACACTGAAGTATAATTTATTCAGAAACAGGGCTTGTTCCCACTTGGCAGGAGTGTTGATTTTCTAGCTTATCTGCAGTTTGAGGTAATAAGTCTAACAAGTTTTGGGAGATCTTAAGTATTATACTGTAGTTTGAAGACTGATTTGTTACATTTGCAAATTGGTTGGTTTCCACATACAGACCTTAATACACCTACCTGTGTTAGTTACTTTCTAAATGTTTGTTATTGCTACAACCATACTTACGTGTTTCATTGAATTACAAGTTCCTTAAGAACAGTGATGGTATTTTAAAAATCAGGAGTAGCCCACCATGACTAGGTATATGGTATTGAAGTGCTCTCTGCATATTTACTGACCCATAGTTGGTAGATAAGGGTTACTATAAATAGAAATAGTCCGCCTTATTGCCGATAATGGTGGTAAAGGCATAACTCTGGAAATTATTTTTATTTTTAAAATAAAAATGATAGAATGAGCACTCTATCTTAAGTTGGGTCCTACTATGATATTTGTAACTTAGATCACTTGGAGACATTTCTTAGGTACCGGCTAATTATTTGTTAATCAAAATAGGAGCCAAGCTTCTAATAGAAGTGTGTAAAAAACAGTAATAATGATAGTTCCTGGAAAATCACTTGCAAATATTCAACTGCAAAATAAACTTAAGAACTTTTATTAACAATATAGATTATTATGAAAGTCAAGGGATGAAAACTGAAGCTCTACACACACACACACACACACACACACACACACACACACACACACACGCTTTGAGATAGGGTCTCGCTCTGTCACCCAGACTAGAGTGCAGAGTGGCACAATCACAGCTCACTGCGGCCTCGACCTCCTGGGCTCAAGTGATCCTCCTCCCTCAGCTTCCTGAGTAGCTGGGACTATAGGCATATGCCAAATACATCTATACATGTAATTTCCAGAGTTATCCCTTTACTACAATTCTCACCAAAAAATACAAAAATGCGACTAATTTTTGAATTTTTTGTAGAGATGGGGGTCTTCCTATGTTGTCTAGGCTGGTCTTGAACTCATGGCTTCAAGTGATCCTCTCTCCTTGGCCTCCCAATGTGCTGGTATTACAGGTGTGAGCCACCATGTCTGGCCCTGTCTTTTTCAATATTAATTTGAAGAACATCCTTGAATCAATGACTATTACTTGAATATAAAGGCCAAATTTAGAGTTTATCAAGACTCAATAGATAATTACAGTAGATAATATTTACTGAGTACACACTGTGTGCCAAGCACTGTGATACATACTGTATGCATTTTCACATTTAATCCTCAAAACAAGTGTGTTATAATTAGGGCTTAGCAAGGTTTAATAACTATTCCTAGTTAAGTGGCAGAGCTGAGAGTTGAACCCAAGAATTTGAACGGTGATTTTTAAGAAATTATTGATGTTGGGAGGCTGAGGCAGGAGAATCGCTTGAACCCAGGAGGCAGAGGTTGCAGTGAGTTGAGATCGTGCCACTGTACTCCAGCCTGGGTGACAGAGCGAGACTCTGTCTCAAAAATAAATAAATAAATAAATAAATAAATAAATAAATAAATAAAATAAATTATTGATGCTTTGAAACGTATGTTGTTAATATAGTCCTGTATTCAAGTGTTAGCACACAATTATTTTAAAATGTGGAGCTCATCAATTATTCCAAAGAGAAACTTGTTATAAAGTCCCTAAAATTTCACTAAGGGGAAAAGCTCAGATACAGACGTGAATAATATTTCACTAAGATATAAGATTATTAGCATGAATGAGATATTATGGGGATGCAATGTAACTTAACCATATGTTATTAAAAGTGTTTTTATTACATTGATGAGTTATACATTCATGGGAAGTATTTATTTCATATGTTTTGTAGGGAGAAATTTAAAAGGATTTGGTTAAATCATTTTGAGGACATAATTTGAGAGAAACATACCTTTTGCAATATTTTTATATCCCTGAAAATTTTTTGTTAAAAGACTCCATCTTTAAGAGAGCTAGAGATTCTCTCCTGGAAAGTGACTAGACCAGTGATAAAACATTATAGATCTGGAGTGAACAAATTATATCACTGCAGTTCTAGGGGGGCTATTGATATAATTTCTAGAAAGGGAAGTTTAAAAAATGCCTGTATCCATAGAAGTAGATTCTGTAGAAATACACTGTAGAAGTACCTGTTAAACTTCTCCCTTCCTTATTATGAGGTAAAAAAATCAACTATAGCTATTGAATGTAAATGCTATTTGATTATAGTAGACTCTTCCAGATGTACCCCATTCTACTCAGTACATCTGTTTCTTTCACTAAGCAATGTGTTCCACTCCTGAAGAATGTTTGTCTTTAATGTATCACATTGAAATTCCTTCTTATTATTTTATACCTTTACACAGTTGATATTGTTTTGGTTGTTATTTTGCATTGACATAGTTCTTTATATTTTCAGTGACATCGTTCTTTATATATGCTTGTTAACATTTGGCAGTTAAGCATATTACTAAGTTTCTTTTTAATGTTTTTAAAGCTAGTTAAGAGTTTTAGGAAAAATATTTTCTGGTGTCAATGGATACAGAAGGTTAAATCATTTGTCTTTGTCTTGAAAGACTTAATCAGAATTGATATCATTATATCAGTGGTTTTCAACCATGGTCGTACATTAAAATCGCCTAAGGGAAGTTAAAAGCAAACAAAAATGCGCATTAAAAAATGAAAACCAGAAAACAATGCCAGGACCTGAGATTCTGGTCATCTGAGATTCTGATTTAAGTTGTCTGGGACAAGGTCCAGGCAAGAGTATGTTTAAATTACTGCCCAGGTGTTTCTGATATGTGACCAGGTTTGACAGTCACAGGATTGAACTATCCGTATAAAGCCTCCCTCAGTATCTAGGGGGGATTGGTTTCAGGACGCCCACAGACGCCAACCTCCAGGATGCTCAAGTCTCTTATATTAAATGGTGTAGTATTAACATGTAATCTACACACATCCTCCTGTATACTTTAAATTATCTCCAGATTGCCTATAATACCTAATACATTGTAAATGCTATTTAAATAGCTATTAAGTGTATTTTTGTTTGTATTTTTATTGCTGTATTGTTATTTTTTTCCTGAATATTTTCAATCACTGGTTGATTGAATTTGCAGATGCAGAACCTATGGATTGGAGGGTAGATTATATTCTGTGTTCATCTCCTCTTGGGTGTTAAATATACATTTAGTACAGCCATGTTGTACAGTTCAAGGAGATGCTGTTCACATTGTGTTCTATATGAATGGCACTTCCTTCAGGAATGAATGGTGCCTTCTGGAAGTTGGCTGCTAGTTGTATAAATAAGCTAATGGCTTCAGTAATTGCTGTTAGAGGAATATGCATTATGGCAGTAGCCTTCTTCACTTCCGGCGTACAAATGATTGCCTTGACAGTCACTCTCTATTTAAAACTGGTCAGATGTATATAACAGCAAGACCAGAAAAAGTTTGTATTTTACAGTAGCTGAGGATTTCAAAGTTCCCAACAGGAATGATGGGAGCTGTGTATGAAATTAAAATTTGCTTGAGGTTTCAGAACTAAGAGCATGGGAAATGGTTCAGTATAATTTTTTCATCATTGCTGTTTATGGAAGTATTATGGAAAGCTGATTGCATTAGGCAGGGTTCCCTAGAAAGACAGAACTAATATATATATACACACACACACACACATACACACACACACACGTTATATATAATATATATGTATATACTTTTTGTTTGTATTTTTGTATAAACTCCCATGTGTAAATATATATATATACACACACATACATATATATATACACACACACACACATATATATATATTTATGTATATGAGTTTATTAACTTACATGATCACAAGTTCCCACAACAGGCTGTCTGCAAGCTTGAGGAGCAAGGAGAGTCAGTCCAAGTCTAAAAACAGAAGAACTTGGAGTCCGATGTTTGAGGGCAGGAAGCATCCAGCATGGGAGAAAGATGTAGGCTGGGCGGCTAGGCCAGTCTCACCGTTTTATGTTTTTCTGCCTGCTTTATATTCGCTGGCAGCTGCTTAGATTGTGCCCACCAGATTAAGGGTGGGTCTGCCTTCCCCAGCCCACTGACTCCAATGTTAATCTCCTTTGGCAACACCCTCACAGACACACCCAGGATCAATACTTTGCATCCTTCAATCCAGTCATGTTCACACTCATTATTAACCATAACATTTATCTTTCTAAAATAGAACAGGAAAATATCCATGATTATAAAAAGAGATGCCTCATTAAATGCTATTAGAATAAAGAATACATGGTACATCTATTGAGTCTCTTGCTAACATGACAAACATACATTGCTAACTGTGCGTAGGTTCTTTACATTTTAATTAATTATCAGTGATGTAAAAATCACTGGCCTTTAACAACAGTTTGATTTCAAACCCATTAAAGAGGCTAAGGCAAAAATGTGGCTTTAGTCTCTCAGCCCCATTGTGTATTCTTTACTGTGGTGAATATCAAAACAGCAGTTAATTATAGTAGTACCATTTCTGTTCTTCATTTCATTATCTCTGTCTTGCACTATTATTTTTTGTTGCTGCTGGCTATACAGCATCAGGCCTGGCACCAGCGAAGTATGAACACAATGCCAGCACTGCATTCAGCACAAGAATAGAAAGGCAGATGGCAGATTTTACTATTTATAGTTGTAGCCAATCTGCCTGAGGTGAGCCCTGCCGAAATGGTTCTTATCAAGAATGTTTTCATTTATTAAAGGGATAGGAAATGAAAGCCAAATAAAAAGCCTCAGTCCTCAGGACTCTGAGAGCAAAACTCTTGCTATAGATTGCAAAGCAATTCCAAGTATTGACTAGATATTTATGAACTAGAAAATTATATATTTAACTCTCTAGTCTCAAAGTAAAGACTTCAGGCCAGCAGTGACTTCACAGCAGAACTTGAGGAATTCATTGTTCAGTGAAGTTGTGCTGCCATAGCAACTGATGCAGAGTGAATTTTAATTATTAAGATCAAAATAGGCTTATGATAAAAACTATTTAACAACATCAAATATATAAACTGAATTGTTTTTACTTTCTCACTAATCATTTCTTGACTGCTATAGAAACAGCACAACATAACTCTACTTCACATTTGATTCTTTATATTGTTTTAAAAAATTCATTGTTTGAAACTCCAGTAAATATTTTAGAATATCAATTAGTATGTTGAGATAAACATTGTGTTCAAAATTAAAATGGCGTGTGAATAATCTAGCTTTCTTATCCTCTAGACATCTGATTTAAAAAGTGTTTTAGTCTCGGCTGGGCATGGAGGCTCAGGTCTGTAATCCCAGCACTTTGGGAGGCTGAGGCAGGGAGATCATGAGGTCAGGAGATTGAGACCAGGCTGGCCAACATGGTGAAACCCCGTCTCTACTAAAAATATAAAAATTAGCTGGGCATGGTGGTGCATGCCTATAGTCCCAGCTACTTGGGAGGCTGAGGCAGGAGAATCGCTTGAACCCAGGAGGCGCAGTTTGCCGTGAGCTGAGATTGCACCACTGCACTCCAGCGTGGCGACATAGCGAGACTCTGTTGCAAAAAAACAGTGTTTTAGTTTCAAGAACATATTGTGGTGATAACTAAAACACCGTATTGAAGAACCCAGGTGGTTCATGTAATCTGAAATATAGCAGTGAGTTATGATAGTGGCTAATAAAATTTATATTCCACAGAAAATAAAAACCTTAATTATAGGCTAAAGAAATTAATTTGATTCAATCATAGTAATTAAAGAAAAATATTTTGATTGGATGTATTGGAATGTAGCAGATTATTTAGTAATATTCTAAATTATTGCAAAGCATCTGTTCATTTTAAATCATGGTAAAATCTGTCATGTGAGTTTATTGATTTTATTTAAATGAAATGATTAGTTGATTGGAAATTTTCATTTTTTCAATGGCTTATACTTTGATAGAAGAAGCTTATAGAAAACTAGTTTTGGAAAGGTACAGCTACAATCTAAATTTAGAATCAGATTTTTTGCTTCATGAATTTTATGTTCCTTTTCAAAATATAGCAAAAAAGCAAAAAGGACTTCTGGTTAGATACAAAGATATGCAGATAGCTTAGGTCTTTCCCAATGACCCTCCAAAAGTAAAGAAGTTTTTAAATAAATAAAATTGCAAGGGCAAAGAAAATTAGCGTGGAGATAAGTAATAAAATTTGGAAGCTGGAAGGCAGGTGGATGAGTGCTAACTAATTTAGACCTGAGGAATCTCAATTATAAGTTTGTAGTGGGGAAAACTGACAAAAATCTGATGTATATATCAGCATCTTATACAACTCAGAAATTGGAAACACTAGGGCCTTTTGGAAGTAGGAGTTAAAGTGGTGGCTGGGTGCGGTGGCTCACACATGTAATCCCAGTACTTTGGGAGGTTGAGGCGGGCGGATCAGGAGGTCAGAAGTTCGAGACCAGCCTGACCAACATAGTGAAACCCCATCTCTACTAAAAATACAAAAATTAGCCAGATGTGGTGGTGCGCACCTGTAATCTCAGCTACTCAGGAGGCTGAAGCAGGAGAATCCCTTGAACCCAGGAGGCGGAGGTTGCAGTTAGCTGAGATGGTGCCACTGCACTACAGCTTGGACAACAGAGCGAGACTCTGTCTCAAAAAAAAAAAAAGTAGTAGTTGGTTTTCAAGATCCCATCCTCCTCATACAGCTAGGCCGTCATACAGTAAAGCCTCTCCTACTTGGCAGAAGACTAAAGGCATATATTCTGTAGAGGGTAAAATATAGTTGCCAGGACTGTGGATATTGCAGAACAGCAGAAGGCAGAGGGCAGGTGTATAAGGCCATTCTTGCATTGCTATAAAGAAATACTTGAGTCCAGACACAGTGACTCAAACCTGTAATCCTAACACTTTGGGAAGCCTAGGCAGGTGATCATGTGAGCTCAGGTGTTCGAGACTAGCCTAGGCTATATGGCGAAACCCCATCTCTACAAAAACTTAGCTGGGCATGGTGGCATGTGCCTGTAGTCCCAGATACTCAGGAAAGCTTAGCTGGGAAATTCACTTGAGCCCGGGAGGTTGAGACCTTGTCTAGAAAAGAAAAGAAAAAAGAAGAGGGGGAAGGAGGTGAGGGGAGGGAGACGAGGGAAGGGAAAAAAAAGAAAAAAGAAAAGAGAAGAAAAATACCTGAGGCTGTGTAATTTATAAAGAAAAGAGCTTTAATTGGCTTACAGTTCTGCAGGCTGAACAGGAAGCATGATGCTGGCATCTGCTTAGCTTCTGGGGAAGCCTCAGGAAACCTACAATCATGGCTGAGGTGAAAGGGGAGCAAGCATGTCACATGGCCAGAGCAGGAACAAGAGAGAGAGGTGGGAAATGCCATACATTTTTAAAGGATCAGATCTTATGAGAACTCACTATTGTGAGGATAGCATGAAGAGGATGGTGCTAAATCATTCATGAGAAATCTGCTCCCATGATTCCATCACCTCCCACCTAAGCCTCACCTCCAACACTGAGGATTACTTTTCAACATGAGATTTGGGCCAGGATACACATCCAGACGATATTAGCTGGTGAATAGTAGATTGAATCAGAGATAGTACATGGAATTTTTGCCTGTTGAGTGTTGAGACTTCAGTCTTCTGTTAGCCCTCAGCATATTGGTAATCAAGTATATATAATCAAGGCAAGAGACCAGAAGAGTTTTCTATGCCAAATTTAAGAAGTCCAAGAAAGAAAGACTTACAAATTCCCTGGGAGTTCCCCAGGGATATAGCTCAGTCACATCATCCTTCAATGAACACAACTGTCAACAAGCCCTGTCCGTTCTACTGGCCTTCCACTTAGCTTCCACTTAGCCCTATTCTTAAATATGAGCATACAGCCAAATATCATTAGGCATTGGAAGACAGCATTTGACTTTTTTTTAGAGACCAAAACAAAAAAATAAAAACAACTTGAATAAGACTATGCAGGGAAGAGGGAAAAAAACAAACATAAAAAGAAGCTAAACTAAAATTAATATCTGGGGAGATGATAGAAAATGAAACAAAATGAAGATTTTTAAACATTTCTTTTATTGATTCATAATATGTTATGTATTTATGGGGTACATGTAAGTATTTTTACATGCATAAAATGTGTAATGATCAAGTCAGGATATTTAGGGTATCATCACCTTGACAATTTATCATTTCTATGTTTTGGTAACATTTTAAGTCCCCTCTTCTAGTGGTTTTGAAATATATGATAATACTGTTGTTAACTATAGTCAGTGTAGTCTAATATCTAGTGTTAGAACTTATTTCTTCTATCTAGCTGTAGGTTTGTACCCATTCATTGACCTCTCTTCATTTCCACCTCCCACCATCACGCTCTTCCCTGCCCCTGGTACCTCATTCTATTCTCAATTTGTGTGAGATCAAGTTTTGTAGCTTTCACATATGAGTGAGAACATATGGTATTTATCTTTCTCTACCTGGGTTATTTCACATACCATAATGACCTCCTGTTACAATCACATTGCTGCAATGACAAGATTGACTTCCTTTTATGGCTGAGTAGTCTTCCATTGTATATATGTACAACATTTTCTTTATCCATTCATCTGTCAATGGACAGTTAGGTTGATTCCATATCTTAGCTACTATGAACAGTTCTGTGATAACATGCAAGTACAGGTATCCCTTTGATATACTGACTTCTTTTCCTTTGGACAGATAACCAGTAGTTGGATTGCTGAATCATATGGTAGTTCTATTGTTGTTGTTGTTGTTGTTGTTGTTTTTTTAAGAAATCTCTATACCGTTTTCCATAGTGGTTGTACTGATTTATATTCCTACCAACAGCGTATAAGAGTTTCCTTTTCTCCAGATCTTTGGCAGCATCTGTTATCTTTTGTTTTTTTAATAATAGCCATTCTACCTGGGGTAAGATGAGAACTCTTTCTGGTTTCGATTTGCATTTCCCTAATGATTAGTGATGTTGAACATTTTTTTATATACCTGTTCGTCATTTGTATGTCTTCTGTTGAGAATTGTCTATTTGTGTCATTTGCCCACTTTTTAATGGGATATTTGTTTTTTCATTCTTGAGTTCCTTGGATATTCTGAATATTAATCCCTTGTTGAATGAATAGTTTGCAGATATTTTCTCCTGTTCAACAAGTTGTCTCTTCACTATGTTGATTATTTCCTTTGCTGTGCAGAAGCTTATTAGTTTAATATAGTCCCCTTGTTTATTTTTGTTTTAGTTTTTTGTGCTTTTAAGGTCTTAGCTGTAAAATCTTTGCCTGGACCAGTGTTCTGAAGTAATTTCACTATGTTGTCTTCTATTAGTTTCATAGTTTTGGGTCTTACTTTTAAGTCTTTAACCCATCTTGAATTGATTTTTGTATGTGATGAGAGATAATGGTCCAGTTTCATTCTTTGGCATATGGATATCCGATTTTCCCAGCACCATTTATTGAAGAGTGTGTCCTTTTCCCAGCATATGTTCTTGGTGCCTTTGTCAAAAATCAGTTAGTTGTAAATAGGTGGATTTATTTCTGTCTTTTCTATTTTGTTCCATTCGTCTTTTTGTCTGTTGTTGTGCTATTCCCATGCTGTTTTGGTTACTATGGTCTTGTAATATAATGTGATGTCAGGTAGTGTGCTACCTCCAGCTTTGTTCTTTTTGCTCAGGATTGCTTTGGCCATCCTGGCTCTTTTTTGGTTCCATAAACATTTTAGAATTCTTTTTACTAACTCTGTGAAAAATTACATTGTAATTTTATAGGGATCGAATTAAATTTTAGATTGCTTTGGGCAGTATGGTCATTTTAACAATACTAATTATTCTGATCCATGAGCATGGGTTGTCTTTCCATTTGTTTATACCCTTTTCAATATTTTCCATCAGTGTTTTATAGCTTTTTTTGGTAGAGATTTTTCACCTTCTTGGTCAAATGTATTCCTAAGTATTTTATTTTACTTTTTAGCTATTGTAAATTGGATTTCCTTGATGCTTTTTTGGCTATTTCATTATTGGTGTCTAGAAATGCTTCCGATTTTTGTTTGTTGATTTTGTATTCTGCAACTTTACTGAATCTGCTTATCAACTCTAAGAGATTTTTTGTTGGACTCTTTTAGTTTTTCTAAACATAAGATCATGTCATCTGCAGAGAGGGACAATTTGACTTCCTCACTTCCAATTTGTATGTCTTTTATTTATCTCTTGACTGATTGCTGTGGCTGGAACTTCCAGTACTGTGTTGAATAGGAGTGGTGAAAGTGGGCATTCTTGTTTCATTTTGTAGAGGAAAGGCTTTCAACTTTTTTCGGTTCAGTATATGTTAGCTATGGGTTTGTCATTTATGGTCTTTATTATTTTGAGGTATATTCCTTCTATGCCTAGTTTGTTGACAGTTTTTATCATGAAGGGACATTGAATTTTGTCACACTTTTTTCTGCATCAGTTGAAATGATCGTATGGTTTTTGTCTATCATTCTGTTGATGTGATGTATCACACTGATTGATTTGCATATATTAAATCATCTTTGGATCTCTGGTATAAACTCCACTTGATCATGATGTATTATTTGATTTTCGTTTCCCTGATGATTAGTGATGTTGAACATTTTTTCATATACCCATTGGTCATTTGTATGTCTTCTTTTGAGAATTGTCTATTCATGTCCTTTGCCCATGTTTTAATGGGATTATTTGTTTTTCTATTGTCGACTGAGTTTCTTGCATATTCTGGGTATTAGTCCTTTGTTGGATGAATAGTTTGCAAATATTGTCTGTTGTGCTGTTGAATTACGGTTTGCTAGTATTTTGTTGAGGATTTTACATCTGTGTTCTTCAAAGATATTGACCTATAGTTTTTTGTTGTTGTTGTTGTTATTATGTCCTTGTCTGGTTTTGGTATCATGGTAATGCTGGATTCATGATATGAGTTAGGGAAAATTTGCTCCTCTTCAATTTCTTGGAATAGTTTGAGGAGGATTGGTATTAGTTCTTTGTGTGTTCGGTAGAACTCAGCAGTGAATCTCTCCAGTCCCGGCTTTTCTTTGTTGGGAGACATTTTAATTATTGCTTCAAGTTCTCGTTACTGGTCTTTTCAGGTTTTCTGTTTCTTCCTGATTCAATCTTGGTAGGTTGTATGTTTCTAGGAATTTATCCATTTTCTCTTAAGTTTTCCAGTTTGTTAGTGTATCGTTATTTATAATAGTCTATTATGATCTTTTGTAGTTTTGTGGTATCAATTATAAAGTCTCCTTTTTCATTTTTTAAAAATTTGGGTCATTTCTTTTCCTGGTTAGTCTAGCTCTAGTGGTTTATCAATTTTTTCTTTTCAAAGAACCAATTTTTCATTTCATTGATGCTTTATATTGCTTTTTTAGTATCTATTTTGTTTAGCTCTGCTCTTATCTTTATTATTTCTTCCTTTCTACCAATTTGTGGTTTGGTTTGTTCTTGCTCTTCTAGTTCCTTGAGGCATATTGTCAGATTGTTTATTTAGAATCTTTTTACTTTTTAAATGTAGGCATTTATTGTTTTATATATCTCACTTACTACTGCTTTTGCTATATCCCACACATCTTGGTATGTTGTTTTTCCATTTTCATTTCTTGCAAGAAATATTTGTATTTCCATCTGAATGTTTTTATTGACCCAGTGTTTGTTCAGGAGCATTTTGTTCAACATCCCTGAATCTATGGCTTTCAACATTCCTCTTGGTTAAAACTTCTAGTTGTATTTCATTGTGGTCTGAGAAAACATATGATTTTTATTTTGTTTTTTTTTTTTTTTTTGAGACAGAATCTCACTCTGTCTCCCGGAATGAAGTTCAGTGGCACGATCTTGGCTCACTTCAACCTTTGCCTCCCTGATTCAAGCGATTCTTTGCCTCAGCCTCCCGAGTAGCTGGGATTACAGGCACCTGCCACCATGCCCCGTGAATTTTTGTGTTTTGAGTAGGGACTGGGTTTCACCATGTTGGCCAGGCAAGCTGGTCTTGAACTCCTGACCTCAGGTGATCCGCTGCCTCGGCCTCCCAAAGTGCTGGGATTACAGGCGTGAGCTACCATGCCTGGCCTATGATTTCTGTTTTTACAAATTTATTGAGACTTGTTTTGTGCCCTAACCTATGGCCCATCATGGATAATGTTCCATGTGCTGATGAAAATAATGTCTATTCTGCAATTTTTGGATAACAATCTCTGTAAATGTCTGTTAGGTCCATTAGGTCTGAAGTCCAGTTTAAATCCAATGTTTCTTTACTGATTTTCTGTCTAGATTATTTACCTAATGCTGAGAGTGGAGTGTTGAAGTCTCCCACTATCGTGTTGGAGCCTCTGTCTCCTTAGGTCTAATAATATTTTATTTATGAATGTGGGTGCTCTAGTGTTAGGTGCATATATTAATATATTTAGAACCATTATATCCTCTTATCCTCCTCCTGGAATAATTACTTTATCATTATATACTTGTCTTTTTTTTTTTTTTTTTTACCTTATTTTGACTCAATGTCTGTTTTATCTGATGTAAGCACAGCTACTCTTGCTTCCTTTTAGTTTCCATTTGAGTAGACTTTTTCCATTCCCTTTACTTTCATTCTATATGTGTCTTTACAGGTAAAGTACATTTCTTGTAGACAGCAAATAGTTAAGTCATTTTTTTAATTCATTCAGTGAGTCTATATCTATTAAGTGAAGAGTTTAATTCATTTATATTCTAGGTGGTTATTAATATATAACATTTTGTTGCTGTCATATAGTCAATTGTTTTTGGTTCTTTTCTATATTTTTTGCTCCTTTCTCTTTTCTTGTTTGTCATTGTGTTTTGGTGGTTTTCTGTAGTTGTACCTTTCTCCTCCTCATTTGTGCTTAAGTTTTAAACATTTGCGTATTTTCATGATGGTAGATGGTTGTCAGTTTGCTTCCAGGTTTAGGACTCCCTTGAGCATTTCTTGTAGGTCTGGTCTGGTGGTGATGAATTCCCTCAGCTTTTCTTTGTCTGGGAAAGACTACTTTTTCTTCATTTTTTAAGGATAATTTTGTTTGCTATGGTATCCTTGACTGGCCTTTTTTTTTTATTTCAGCGCTTGGAATACGTCATCCCATTTTCTCCTGGTCAGTAAGGTTTCTGCAAAGAAACTCATTGTTAGTCTGATGGTTTTTTTTTTTTTTAATTATAGGTGCCGAAACACTTTTCTCTTTTTGTTTTTAGAAGTATTTCTTTGTCTTTGACTTTAGACAATTTGACTATAATGTGCTATGAAGACCTTTTTATGTTGTATCTGCTTGGGGATCTGAGAGTCTCCTGTATCTGGATTTCTAAATATCTTGCCATACTTGTCTGTTATTTCATTAAATTGGTTTTCTAACCCTTTCATTCTCCCTTCGCCATCTGGGACCCTGGTAATTCAGATTTTGGTCATTTTATGATGTCTCACATATCACAAATGTTTCACTCATTCTTTTTTATTCTTTTTTATTTTTGGTCTGTGTTATTTCTAAAGACCTTTCTTCTGCTTGTTCTACTCTTTTGTTGAAGCTGTAGTTCCAGAACTTTTGTCTGGTTCTTTTTTTTTTTAATGATATCTATCTCTTTGGTATATTTCTCATTCATGTCCTGAATTATCTTTTGTTTTTTGTTTTCAGAATTCTCTTATATCTCCCTGAGCTTCTTTAGAATTGATAATTTTCATTTTCTGGGATTTCATGAATTTCTTTTTGATTGGGATGTTTCTGGGGAATTATTGTGTTTCTTTGGAGGTATTAATATTTCCTTGCTTTTCCATGTTTTCTGTGTTATTACATTAATATCTATACATCTCATATAACAGTCGCTTCTTTCAGTTTTTTGAATTTCTGGCTTTTATAGAGGAGGACTTTTCCTGAAAATGCATCTATGATGTTGGTTTTTTAGGACACTTTGGCTTTGATTCTGGGTGCAGGCTAGTAGTATAATCTTTGCATGATTTCTTTAATTGTAAACAACACCAGTGGTGTCTGTGATTTCCTTAGTGGCTTAGGGTGTAGTTATTAGTGGAGGTTGTGCTGGAGTTTTTATGGGGATTTGGATACCAAATAGTTCAGTATTTGGGGCCTAGTGGTGGCAGTGGTAGGTTTGGTGTGCCTGTTCCTGGGCCTCAGAGTTGCATACACCAGCACTGATGTTGGCACGTCTAGGTGGGCCAATACTTGGGCCTCCAGGTGACTTACCCAGGTGTTGAAGCCTTGGTTCCAGCAAGTGGGCAGGTTCTTAGGCCTCTGGGCAGCTAGTGTGGCATGGGCAATGACAGTGACAATGGCGGGACAACCCTCTGGTTCCTGAGCAGTTTGCTTTCATATTGGGTTGCTGCAATGGGATGAACAGGCCAGTCTCCAAGCCCTCAGGCAGCATGTGCTTGTAGATGTTAGTTGTAGTGGTATTAGTTGGATGGAAAGGCCCACCCTCAGGCCCATGGGAGTAGTGTTCAGATGCCAACAATGGTGGACTGGGCTGGGTACTCCCCTGACCCCCAGACTCTGCTCTGGCATGGAGAAGGCAAAGCTTGGCCAGGTAGGCTTGTCCTTAGGTCCTCTGATAGTGAGTGCAGGTACCAGCCATGTTACGCAGGAGTGGGTCAATGCGCATGCTACCGTCAGGATGCTCAGCTGGTGGGAGGAAGCAGTTGTGCTGCTGCCTTGACACTGGGAAGGGCGGGACTGCCTTCAGTGGCAGGCAGCCTAGGCCTCTCCAGTGGCAAGGCAGCAGCACAACTGCCTTGTCACTGGGTGTACTACTTGCACCTCAGTCCCAGTGGTGCTTGTGCCTCAGTCTCCTGTGCAGTAGCCCATGTTTGCTCATGTCTAAGCCACATAGGCAGCTGCCATGCTTCTCTTGAGCTTCAGCCCTGGCACTGTTGGGTTCCAGGACAGTACATAATCTGTTGTAGACAGCACTCAAAAATGGTACCTTGCTGTAGCTGTTTAGGTCTCAGGGAGTGTGTAGGACCCAGCATGAGCTCTTTCCCCTCCTTAGAGCAGTGCTGTTGCACAATCTCATGGTGTTACCCTCTGTTAGTTTCAGAGCCTGTAAGGACTGAGGGGTTCTCCCAAAGCTAGGATTTCAGGAGTCCATGGTGGGAATGTGATCTACTGAGGATCTTTCAATTACCTTTTCCCCACATTGGGGAGTAGCTCTCAGCTCCCTGCTGATCCCAGCCAAGCAGTCTGCCTCCCTTCCTTTCTCCTTGCTTTAGGTATTTCCTGTCACTTTCTGTTAAATCCCAGTGTTCTCTCTTGGATGATCTATTTGAAGTATGGTTATTCACTCACTATTTTGGTTCTTCTTAGTGGAGGAAGCAAGTAAGACAATCAAAACCAAGATTTTTATACATACATACATACATACATACATACATACATACATACATACATACGTACGTTTGTGTAGGGAACATGCAGGGTATTAAAATCAGCTTGTGGAATTTTTTTTTAACCAGAAAAAAATTTTAATTGAATCTAATAAAGGGTTAGAAAATGAAGTTGAGCATATCTCTAGAAAACAGTACAGAGAGATAGGAAATAGGATAGACAATAAAATTAGAGAACTCATAGCAGTAAAAAGAACAGACTTGCTACACATAACCCCATGGGTGAATCTGAATACACAGTTATTGAGTGAAAGAAACCATTCACAAGGGAGTATATAGTAGACGCTTTCATTTATGTGAAGTATAAGAATAGATAACACTACGTTCATGGTCATAATAGTGGCTACCTATTAAAGATGGCTATAATACAGGTTAGTTATAACACAGGAAGATGGGTTGATTCATATACCTATCAGAGATGGTATAATACAGGAAGATAAATTGTAGTTCACCAAGTATATATACATGGAAAAATTATTTGTGCTATATACTTAAGTTTTGCTTATTGTGTATTATAAACACAATTGAAATAATAGAGGAGGAAAAAATCAGAGAAGCAGTCTAAGATGCACAACACTTCAGCAATAAGAATTTCAGATTTAGATAAAAATAGGAAAAATATAGGGCAGAAAAAAAGAAATACATCAAGGATGTTTTCTGGTATTGAGGACAAGTATTCAAAATGAAAGGGCACACTAGTTATCCAGCATATTGGATAAAATTCAATAAAAATGACTGTGTGGCTTAGACACCAGCCAGGGGCAGCTGGTTGCATCTTTAGTTCAAGCTACTTGGGGGGCCAAGGTGGAAGAATTGCTTTAAGCTAGGAATTTGAGGCTGTAGTGTGCTTTAATCACACCTCTGATTAGCCACTGCACTACAGTCCAGGAAATATGGTGAGATACTGTCTCGGGGGTGGGGGGGGGGAAGATATACCAAAACATATTATTGAGTAATTGTGGAACCCTAGGAATAAATAAAAGATCTTACAAACTTCCAAATGAGAAAAATATAGGTTTTGCTGTTCAATAGAAATACTGGAAGAAAGGAGACAATGGAACATCATCTTCAATATCTGAGAAAAAATTATTTCCAACCTAGAATTTTATACCTAGCAAAATTACCAATTATGAACATCTCCATTCAGCTTTTCTCAAGAAGCTACTGTAGTATGTTTGCTGCCAAAAATAAGAAAACAAGTAGAAAGGAAGACATAAGATATAGAAATTAGAAAATCTAGTATGAGTAAGAGAGGTGAAAGGAACCCTTGGGAAGAGGGAAAGGAAAATTCCAACTCGACAGCTGATTAGAGGGCCTATTGAGAAAGCAGTTTAGATCAGAAGTCAGAAGGATCACAGGAGTTTTTTGTTTTTTGTTTTTTTGTTTTTTTTTTTGGGACACAGTCTTGCTCTGTCACCCAGGCTGGAGTGCAGTGGCACAGTCTCAGCTCACCGCAGCCTTTGCCTCCCGGGTTCGAGCAAGTCTCCTGCCTCAGCCTCCTGAGTATCTGGGACTACAGGTGCGCACCACCACACCTGGCTAATTTTTGTATTTTTAGTAGAGACAGGGTTTCACCATGTTGGCCAGGCTGGTCTTGAACTCCTGACCTCATGATCCACCCGCCTCGGCCTTCCAAAGTGCTGGGATTACAGGCATGAGCCACTGCGCTCAGCCAGATGTTTTTCAAGAAGATGAAATTGATAAATATTGAGAGTATTTAAACACATTCAGGGAAGATTCATAAAACTGGGGGACTGTTTTGAGTACATAGAAAACAGCAAACAAAAAACAAGATAGGTATGAACTGTGGAGGAAACTGAGAAATGGAATGGAAAGACAATACTATATTATCCAGTCATGAATGGATTATGTAACTACATGACTCTATTAATAGAAATATCTCATCCAGATAGTGTATTACATATAACGGAATACTATAAAGCAGCAAAGAGGAGTTAATCACAGATATATAAAAAAAAATGGGGAGTAAGAAAAACAAGTTGCCACTAATACCACTTATAACAAGTTTTGTTGTATTTCTAAAAACTGATAAAAAACTATAGAATATAACATGATAAATATCCATGTATCCACAACTAAGCTTGAGAAATAAACACTATAGCCGGGCACAGTGGCTTACGCCTGTAATCCCAGCACTTTGGGAGGCCGAGGTGGGTGGGTCACGAGGTCGGGAGATCAAGGCCATCCTGGCTAACACAGTGAAACCCTGTCTCTACTAAAAATACAAAAAATTAGCCAGGCGTGGTGGGGCACTCTTGTAATCCCACCTAGTCGGGAGACTGAGGCAGGAGAATCGCTTGAACCCGGGAGGCAGAGGTTGCAGTGAGCCAAGATCGCGCCACTGCACTCCAGCCTGGGTGACAGAGTGAGACTCCGTCTCAAAAATAAATAAGCAAACAAATATAATGGAATCCTTCCATGCGCTCCCCTCTGGTACCATCGCTCTTCGTCTTTGTCTGAAGGTAACCACTGTTTTAAAGTTCATACTTGTCATTTCTGCATACGTCTTTATACTACATACAGTTGACTCTTGAACAACATGGGCTTGCACTGTGCAGGTCTGCTTACATGCAGATTTTCTTTTACCTCTGCCACCCCTGAGACAACAAGAACAATCCCTCCTCTTCCTCCTCCTCCTCAGCCTACTCAGTGTGAAGACGATGACGATGAAGACTTTCATGATGATCCACTTCTATTTAATAAATAGTAAATATATTTTCTCTTCCTTATGATTTTCTTAGAGTTTCTTTTCTCTAGCTTACTTTGTGTGACAATGTAGTATATAATACATATAACATACGAAATACGTGTTTTTGTTTTTGTTTTTGTTTTTTGAGATGGAGTTTCGCTCTTGTTGCCTAGGCTGGAGTGCAATGGTATGATCTCAGCTCATTGCAACCTCCGCCTCCTGAGTTCAAGCGATTCTCCTGCCTCAGCCTCCCAAGTAGCTGGGATTACAGGTGCCCGCCACCACACCCAGCAAATTTTTTGTATTTTTATTAGAGATGAGGTTTCATTATGGTGGCCAGGCTGGTCTCAAACTCCTGACCTCAGGTGATCCACTCGCCTCGGCCTCCCAAAGTGCTGGGATTACAGGCATGAGCTACCGCGCCCAGCCCACAAAATATGTGTTAATCAACTGTTTATGTTATCACCAAGGCTTCTGGCTAGCAGTAGGCTACTAGTAGTTGAGTTTTTGGGGAGTCAAAAGTTATACATGGATTTTTGACTGTGCATAGGGCCAGTGCCCCAACTCCTGCATTGTTCAGAGGTCAACTCTGTGTGTGTGTGTGTGTGTGTGTGTGTGTGTGTGTGTGTGTGTGTGTGTGTCCCTAAACAATATTTAGCAAGTTGACTGTTTTTAAACTTTATATCAATGGTGTATATTAAATATGATCGTCTACAGTTTGCTTTTACAGCTCAATAGTTTAAAAACAAAACAAAACAAAAAGCTGCAGTAATCCCCCTGCCGTTATTCATGAGGATTACATTTCACGACCCCCAGTGGATGTCTAAAACTAGATTAGTACTAAATCCTGTATACATTTTCCTATACATATGTACCTATGATGGTTTAATTTATAATGTTTGCACGGGAGATTAAAAACAATAACTAATAATAAAATAGAATAACTAGAGCAGGCCAGGCAAGGTGACTCACGCCTGTAATCCCAGCTCTTTGGGAGGCTGAGGTGGGCGGATCACTGGAGGTTAGGAGTTCGAGACTGGCCTGGCCAACATGGTGAAACCCCGTCTCTACTAAATACAAAAATTAGCCGGGCATGGTGTCATGTACCTATAATCGCATCTACTCGGGAGGCTGAGGCAGGAGAATTGCTTGACCCTGGGAAGCAGAGGTTGCAGTGAGCCGAGTTCATGCCACTGCACTCCAGCTTGGATGACAGAGCGAAACTCTGTCTCCAAAAAAAAAAAAAAAAAAAAAAAAAAAAATAATTAGAATAGTATGCCAGTATCACTAATCTTGTACATTGTACTTTGGAGCAATTATTAGGGAAAATAAGGGTTACTTGAACATAGCACTGTGATATTGTAATAGTTGATCTGATGACAGTTGAATGGTAACCCAGAAGGTGACTAACAATTAGTGTATACAGTGTGGTTTGATTCATTGAGGTTATGCTCACATCATGGTCAAAAGATGAAAGTGGAATGGTTTATATCTCCTTGTTCTCAGGAAAAAATAAAAGTTTTTGAATGCCACTGTTCAACTTGACACCATAAGGTTAAGTATTGTTTTGTTTTCTTGATCTGTTGCAGTTAAGACAATTTGCATGCATCTTTTAGGTATAGCTGTAAAATTTTCTCTTTTGAAATGTCATGAGTCAAAATTGAACTGTGGGAAATAAAAAATAAAGAATTTGTCTCTATTTATTTTTTTAATGAAAATCTCTTTGTATCTCAGAATTTCATGATGGTCTAGGAGGCCTGAAACTCTGTAGGTCTAGACTGTGAGGATCTCTGAGAACTGCATGCTCTGCATATTATAGGTACTCAATCAGCACTGATTGCTGGTGGCTTAAACTGCAAGAACTACGTTATAGCCAGCAAGCAAAGATGCCCAATTAGTCAGTGAGTGATTTGCCAGGGGAAGTCTATTTTCAGCCTGGGTAGTTACTATTAAGAGAGGATCCTAGAAGCTGCACTTTTTGCCTGCTAGGTGTTCGGAATACTTTTGAAAGAACTGAAGTGTTCAGTTCAGTGGAGACATCTTAGATCCTCTATATTTACAAATTTACAGCCCTTCATTTCCCAATTTCTTCAACCTTTTTCCTTCCTGGAAGTCATGCTTTCATAGTTTAGGGGAAATAATTAGTTTTATAAAACATTCAGTTCCTAAAAGATTAATAATTCCAAAGGAAAATATATTAATTGTAGTTATGAAAAATGCACTGACAACAGGCTATCAGCTTTCAGAATTGCTTCTTAGTTTTTCATTAAAATAGAAAACTCAAAATGTCTCATGAGTTTTATAGAAAAATTGAGCATATTTAAAAATTAAATATGTATAATTTTATAAGAACAAAAAAGGTTTGACCTTGAAAATTTTTTTCTTCAGTTTTATTCTGTTACAGGACAGTGCCTGCACATTAGTAGGCACTTGGTGAAGATTTGTGAAATGAATGTGATAGCATAATGTTATTGGAATTCATCATTGCTGAATTAATGTATATTTGTGGTTTCTGTAGGAAATCTTGTCCTTATCTCACCTCAGGTTTTTACCATAACATTTTTTTCCTCTTTGCAAATATCTTTTGATTGGTATTTTAATTATTGATAAGGTGTGCACTTGGAACATTCATTCAAAATGAATAATTCCAGTGTCAGGGGAAAAAAAAAAACCTCTGGAAATTTAATGTATGGCTTTTTTTAAGTGTATATATCACTTTTTTTTCCAAAGGACAGTTTGAAAGTGAAATACTCCAAAGTAAAAGCAATTTTAACTTTCTGAAACTGTGTATGTTTGTTTGCGTGTGTGAAAAAAGATGGAAAAAAGGAAAGATAGAAGAAGGGAGGGTTGGGAGATTGAGAGAGGGAGAGAGAGGAGAGAAATGTGCTTTCTATGAAATTTTGACACATTTCCAGGATAACTGAGAATGATAAATTAAGTAAAAAGAAAAATAAGCATTCTTATTTTATGTGGGAAGAATTATGCTTTTTTTCCTTTAAAGAAATTGATTTTTATGAAAACAAGCAATAATAGCTTTAACAAATACATAAAAATTTTTAGATCAAGCTGATAACTGCTTTTAGATAATAGCCTAAGTCACTGATTAGAAGGGAAAACCCATCTTTGGAAAATATCTTTTGGAAATCATCTTTTGTGTATCATGTTAAAATAAAAATTTTTCTTAGTCATTTCAAGGAAATTTTCTAACATTAGGAAGGGAAATATTGTTAATTCTTTTCAGCAGAAGGTAGAGTACCGGCATTAATGACAAATACATTTTTACCTTAGACCTTTTAAATAATTACTTTTTTCCTTTTAATAGAGAAAAGGACACATTTAGATATTGGATGTTTATTTTACATTTTAAAACAATTTTCTTTGGGGAAAAAATAGGGTGAAAGTTCTTGTAAAACCAAGGAAATTTTGAATTTGTAGAGCATAAGTAGATACTGACAATTTTTCTTGCTACATCTGAAGTTAGTTATTTGACTTAAAAGGCCAACAATCTCATTTATTGGTTTCTTTGAAGTAGTTGGTTGCCTTTTTTCTCTCCCACACCAAACTATAAAGATAATTTCATAAACCTCTTTTTAGTTGAGCTTTTGGGTTTTGCTAATTTTTCTGACTTAGATGAAGTTTCAATTAAAAATAGACTATAAACTTATATGTGGGTGGCAGTTGAATGAGTTGCTATGACAGTTCATATTATGAGGTTGAACCAAATGCAAAGTAGCTTAACAGAATTTGAGAAACATAGAGCTATATCAGTACTAATGATTACCCTTCTTTAACCTATGCTGCGTATAAAGGAACATGCCTTTCTCTCAGGGTACAAAAGTTTTACTGGAGAAATCAGTGAAGCCTGTAACCCTTATCCTACTGCTACTAAGAACCTATTTTCCTAAGGAACACCCCACTTTCCCACTTGTGGATATTGGTAAAAGGTCTTGGGAATATCAAGTCTGGTCTGTATTTTCCCATCCTCTACAGGTAATCTCAGAAGAGGTGCTTAATAAATGCTATACACCATCATCCAATTCTTGCTCCTCCTGTTCCTGAAAGAAAGTTTAGCCAGGCAGGGTGGCGGGCACCTGTACTACTATGGAGAGAGGTGTAGAGTGGTGCTACCTGAGAGCATAACACTAATGATCTGCCATCGTGTGAATTTTCCATATTTTTCTGCATTGTTTGTGGTCATTGTGGAAAAGTATGATTCTGATGCATGTATCAAGATCTTTTAAAGAACACAAAAAAGTTATAATTTTTTTCAACTCTAAAATCTTCCAGTGAAACTAACTTTTAAGGAAGATCTTCCATGAGTATCAAGTGGCTTCACATACCCTATGCAAGAGTATTGTTCAATAAGGGCTCACCCAGTTAGTTACTCTCTTCCTTAGTCCACCTTTTAAAAATGCTGCCAGATGAATCTCCTTGAAGCTTACATTGTTATGTAATTTCCTTATTTTCTTTAGAAACAAATTCAGAACTCCTTAGCTTACCTGGTAATGCTCTCTACAATCTGCCCTGAACCTCCCTTTCCAATCTTAGACCTCATTTCTCTCGTCATACGTGCTGTGGTACAACAATCTCTGAACCCTGCTTTGGGAAAACCATTTCTTTGCTTATGTTGGTACTTCCATTTCTCTTTGCTGTGAACATTTGAACTATTTCCAAAGTCCAGATCAAATGCCTAGTCCCTCTTAGGCTTTCTCCTGCTTTTCAACCTAGGAGTAGTAATTTTTCTCTTTTTTGGTTTCTTTGTAAATCTCTTCTAAATTTTATTAGTATTTAACCCTTCCCTTATAGTTCTTTACACATCTTTTTGTTCTCTGCCAGAATATAAACTACGTAAGAATAATCTTTTACATGTTTCCAAACCCAACATTGTCTACTCTGTATCCTGTATAGTTTGTGCCCTGTAAATGTCTACTGAATTGAACTTAAACTTTGAAGTATAACCCTATAGACATACCACTAATCTAGGGACGTTTGTATACTCTTTCAATGCTACCATGTACTCTTTGAACTGCATCTTGACATTTAATTTTTCTATGACTTAGTTTTTTTTAACCCACAAGGTGGTTATAATGATATTTCACTGTGCACTATAAAATTGTTATGTTATCTTTCAAAGAACTACTTTGAATTCCCTGGGAGACAAATGGTCAAATATATGAAACCCATTATAGAATTTCACCTCTGACATATGGCACAACTTAGAGATAATTTTGTTTAAATGCCAAGTAACCTGGAGCTATAAGTCCCGTAATACCACATAGGTATACATGTTTATGTATATGTAATCGTTCATGTTTATAACCTCATTTTGTAGTGTGATAGTAGGCTATGGTAAATTTGTCTTAAAATTTTTTAGGAGGCCAAAATTCTTACAGAAAAACATATTAGTGTAGTGTTGAGAGTCTAGGCACTAGAGATAGACTGCCTACGTTCATTAAAAAGTTAAATAAGTTGCCCGGGGTCACACAAAAGACTAAAGGGTGATTTGAACTTAAGTTTCCTCATTTATCATTCAGAATAATAAGAGCTCCTATTTACAGTATAGTTTTCAAGAATAAATTACCTAATACTGGCCCATAGTAAATACATATTTATTATTTTTATTATATTTTCATAGATAAATCATACATAGGCTTAGTTGGAGGTTAAACTTAGTGGTAAAGAACTTAGCATCAGGTAAACCGGGGTTTTATTTTTGATTTATTTTTTTCATTTCTTTTTTTTCTTTTTTTTATTATTTTCTTTATTATACGTTAAGTTCTAGGGTACATGTGCACAACATGCAGGTTTGTTACATATGTATACATGTGCCACGTGGGTGTGCTGTACCCATTAACTTGTCATTTACATTAGGTATATCTCCTAATGCTATCCCTTCCCTGTCCCCACACCCCACAACAGGCCCTGGTGTGTGATGTTCCCCACCCTGTGCCCAAGTGTTCTCATTGTTCAATTCCCACCTATGAGTGAGAACATGCGGTGTTTGGTTTAAAATCCTTGTGATAGTTTGCTCAGAATGATGGTTTCCAGCTTCATCCATGTACCCACAAAGGACATGAACTCATCCCTTTTTATGGCTGCATACTATTCCATGGTGTATATGTGCCACATTTTCTTAATCCAGTCTATCATTGATGGACATTTGGGTTGGTTCCAAGTCTGTGCTATTGTGAATAGTGCCACAATAAACATACGTATGCATGTGTCTTTATAACAGCATGATTTATAATCCTTCGGGTTTATACCCAGTAATGGGATGTCTGGGTCAAATGGTATTTCTAGTTCTAGATCATTGAGGAATCGCCACACTGTCTTCCACAAGGGTTGAACTAGTTTATAGTCCCACCAACAGTATAAAAGTTTTCCTATTTCTCCACATCCTCTCCAGCACCTATTGTTTCCTGACTTTTTAATGATCGCCATTCTAACTGGTATGAAATGGTATCTCATTGTGGTTTTGATTTGCATTTCTCTGATTGCCAGTGATGATAAGCATTTTTTCATGTGTCTTTTGGCTGCATAAATGTCTTCTTTTGAGAAGTGTCTGTTCATATCCTTTGCCCACTTTTTGATGGGGTAGTTTGATTTTTTCTTGTAAATTTGTTTAAGTTCTTTGTAGATTCTGGATATTAGCCCTTTGTCAGATGGGTAGATTGTAAAAATTTTCTCCCATTCTGTAGGTTGCCTGTTCACTCTGAGGGTAGTTCCTTTTGTTGTGCAGAAGCTCTTTAGTTTAATTAAATCCCATTTATCTATTTTGGCTTTTGTTGCCATTGTTTTTGGTGTTTTAGTCATGAAGTCCTTGCCCATGCCAATGTCCTAAATGGTATTGCTTAGGTTTTCCCCTAGGGTTTTTATGGTTTTAGGTCTAACATTTAAGTCTTTAATCCATGTTGAATTAATTTTTGTATAAGGTATACGGAAGGGATCCAGTTTCAGCTTTCTACGTATGGCTAGCCAGTTTTCCCAGCACCATTTATTAAATAGGGAATCCTTTCCCCATTTCTTGTTTTTGTCAGGTTTGTCAGAGATCAGATGGTTGTAGATGTGTGGTGTTATTTCTGAGGGCTCTGTTCTGTTCCATTGGTCTATATCTCTGTTTTGGTACCAGTACCATGCTGTTTTGGTTACTGTAGTCTTGTAGTATAGTTTGAAGTCAGGTAGCGTGATGCCTCCAGCTTTGTTCTTTTTGTTTAGGATTGTCTTGGCAATGTGGGTTCTTTTTTGGTTGCATATGAACTTTAAAGTAGTTTTTTCCAATTCTGTGAAGAAAGTCACTGGTAGCTTGATGGGGATGGCATTGAATCTATAAATTACCTTGGGCAATATGGACATTTTCAAAATATTGATTATTCCTATCCACGAGCATGGGATGTTCTTCCATTTGTTTGTGTCCTCTTTTATTTTATTGAGCAGTGGTTTGTAGTTCTCCTTGAAGAGGTCCTTCACATCCCTTGTAAGTTGGATTCCTAGGTATTTTATTGTCTTTGTAGCAATTGTGTATGGGAGTTCACTCATGATTTGGCTGTTTGTCTGTTATTGATGTAGAGGAATGCTTGTGATTTTTGCACATTGATTTTGTATTCTAGGACTTTGCTGAAGTTGCTTATCAGCTTAGGGAGATTTTGGGCTGAGATGATGGGGTTTTCTAAATATACAATCATGTCATCTGTAAACAGGGACAATTTGACTTCCCCTTTTCCTAATTGAATATCCTTTATTTCTTTCTCCTGCCTGACTGCCCTGGCCAGAACTTCCAACACTATGTTGAATAGGAGTGGTGAGAGAGGGCATCCCTGTCTTGTGCCAGTTTTCAAAGGGAGTGCTTCTGGTTTTGGCCCATTCAGTATGATATTGGCTGTGGGTTTGTCATAAATAGCTCTTATTATTTTGAGATATGTCCCATCAATACCTAGTTTATTAAGAGTTTTTAGGCCGGGTGCGGTGGCTCACCACCTGTAATCCCAGCACTTTTGGAGGCCAAGGCAGGCATATCACGAGGTCAGGAGATCGAGACCATCCTGGCTAACACAGTGAAACTCTGTATCTACTAAAAATACAAAAAATTAGCCAGGCAGGGTGGCGGGCACCTGTAGTCCCTGCTACTCTGGAGGCTGAGGCAGGAGAATGGCATGAACCCGGGAGGCGGAGCTTGTAGTGAGCCGAGATCATGCCACTGCACTCCAGCCTGGGTGACAGCACGAGACTCCGTCTCAAAAAAAAAAAAAGTTTTTAGCGTGAAGGGCTGTTGAATTTTGTCAAAGGCCTTTTCTGCATCTTTTGAGATAATCATCTGTTTTTTGTCTTTGGTTCTGTTTATATGATGGATTATGTTTATTGATTTGCGTATGTTGAACTAGCCTTGCATCCCAGGGATAAAGCCAACTTGATCGTGGTGGATAAGCTTTTTGATGTGCTGCTGGATTTGGTTTGCCAGTATTTTATTGAGGATCTTTGCATCAATGTTCATCAGGGATATTGGTCTAAAATTCTCTTTTTTTGTTGTGTCTCTGCCAGGCATTGGTATCAGGATGATGCTGGCCTCATAAAATGAGTTAGGGAGGATTCCCTCTTTTTCTGTTGATTGGAATAGTTTCAGAAGGAATGGTACCAGTTCCTCCTTGTACCTCTGGTAGAATTCAGCTGTGAATCCATCTGGTCCTGGACTTTTTTTGGTTGGTAAGCTATTGATTATTGCCTCAATTTCAGAGCCTTTTATTGGACTATTCAGGGATTCAACTTCTTCCTGGTTTAGTCTTCGGAGGGTGTATGTGTCGAGGAATTTATCCATTTCTTCTAGATTTTCTAGTTTATTTGCGTAAAAGTGTTTATAGTATTCTCTGATGGTAGTTTGTATTTCTGTGGGATCTGTGGTGATATCCCCTTTATCATTTTTTATTGCATCTATTTGATTCTTCTCTCTTTTTTTCTTTATTAGTCTTGCTAGTGGTCTACCAATTTTGTTGATCTTTTCAAAAAACCAGCTCCTGGATTCATTGATTTTTTGAAGGGTTTTTTGTGTCTCTATCTCCTTCATTTCTGCTCTGATCTTAGTTATTTCTTGCCTTCTGCTGGCTTTTGAATGTGTTTGCTCTTGCTTCTCTAGTTCTTTTAATTGTGATGTTAGGGTGTCAATTTTAGATCTTTCCTGTTTACTCTTGTGGGCATTTAGTGCTATAAATTTCCCTCTACACATTGCTTTAAATGTGTCCCAGAGATTCTGGTATGTTGTGTCTTTGTTCTCATTGGTTTCAAAGTACATCTTTATTTCTGCCTTCATTTCGTTATGTACCTGGTAGTCATTCAGGACAAGGTTGTTCAGTTTCCATGTAGTTGAGCAGCTTTGAGTGAGTTTCTTAATCCTGAGTTCTAGTTTGATTGCACTGTGGTCTGGGAGACAGTTTGTTATAATTTCTGTTCTTTAACATTTGCAGAGGAGTGCTTTGCTTCCAACTATGTGGTCAATTATGGAATAAGGGTGATGTGGTGCTGAGAAGAATGTATATTCTGTTGATTTGGGGTGGAGAGTTCTGTAGGTGTCTATTAGATCTGGTTGGTGCAGAGCTGAGTTCAATTCCTGGATATCCTTGTTAACTTTCTGTCTCATTGATCTGTCTAATGTTGACAGTGGGGTGTTAAAGTCTCCCATTATTATTGTGTGGGAGTCTAAGTCTCTTTGTAGGTCACTCAGGACTTGCTTTATGAATCTGGATGCTTCTGTATTGGGTGCATATATATTTAGGATAGTTAGTTCTTCTTGTTGAATTGATCCCTTCACCATTATGTAATGGCCTTCTTTGTCTCTTTTGATCTTTGTTGGTTTAAAGTCTGTTTTATCAGAGACTAGGATTGCAACCCCTGCTTTTTTTTGTTTTCCATTTGCTTGGCAGATCTTCCTTCATCTCTTTATTTTGAGCCTATGTGTTTCCCTGCCTGTGAGATGGGTTTCCTGAATACAGCACACTGATGGTTCTTGACTCTTTATCCAATTTAACAGTCTGTGTCTTTTAATTGAAACATTTAGCCCATTTACATTTATAGTTAATATGGTTATGTGTGAATTTGAGCCTGTCATTATGATGTTAGCTGGTTATTTTGCTCGTTAGTTGATGCAGTTTCTTCCTAGCCTCGATGGTCTTTACCATTTGGCATGTTTTTGCAGTGGCTGGTACCAGTTGTTCCTTTCCATGTTTAGTGCTTCCTTCAGGAGCTCTTGTAAGGCAGGCCTGGTGGTGACAAAATCTCTCAGCATTTGCTTGTCTGTAAAGGATTTTATTTCTCCTTCACTTATGAAGCTTAGTTTGGCTGAATATGAAATTCTGGGTTGAAAATTCTTTTCTTTAAGAATGTTGAATATTGTCCCCCACTGTCTTCTGGCTTGTAAACTTTCTGCCGAGAGATCCGCTGTTAGTCTGATAGGCTTCCCTTTGTGGGTAACTCGACCTTTCTCTCTGGCTGCCCTTAACATTTTTTCCTTTATTTCAACTTTGGTGAATCTGACAGTTATGTGTCTTGGAGTTGCTCTTCTCGAGGAGTATCTTTGTGGCGTTCTCTGTATTTCCTGAATTTGAATGTTGGCCTGCCTTGCTAGGTTGGGTAAGTTCTCCTGGGTAATATCCTGCAGAGTGTTTTCCAACTTGGTTCCATTCTCCTTGTCACTTTCAGGTACACCAGTCAGGTGTAGATTTGTTTTTTTCACATAGTCCCATATTTCTTGGAGGCTTTGTTCATTTCTTTTTACTCTTTTTTTCTCTAAACTTCTCTTCTTGCTTCATTTCATTCATTTGATCTTCAATCACTGATACCCTTTCTTCCACTTGATTTAATCAGCTGCTGAAGCTTGTGCGTGCATCATGTAGTTCTCTTGCCATGGTTTTCAGCTCCATCAGGTCATTTAAGGTCTTGTCTATGCTCTTTATTCTAGTTAGCCATTCGTCTAATCTTTCTTCATGGTTTTTAGCTTCTTTGCAATGGGTTCAAACATCGTCCTTTAGCTCGGATAAGTTCGTTATTACTGATCATCTGAAGTCTTCTTCTCTCAACTTGTCAAAGTCATTCTCTATCCAGCTTTGTTCTATTGCTGGCGAGGAGCTGCGATACTTTGGAGGAGAAGAGGCCCTCTGATTTTTAGAATTTTTAGCTTTTCTGCTCTGGTTTCTCCCCGTCTTTGTGGTTTTATCTACCTTTGGTCTTTGATGATGGTGACTTACAGATGGGGTTTTGGTGTGGATGTCCTTTCTGTTTGTTAGTTTTCCTTCTAACAGTCACGACCCTCTGTTGCAGGTCTGTTGGAGTTTGCTGGAGGTCCACTCCAGACCCTGTTTGCCTGGGTATCACCAGTGGAAGCTGCAGAACAGCAAATATTGCAGAATGGCAAATGTTGCTGCCTGATCCTTCCTCTGGAAGCTTCATCTCAGAAGGGCACCTGGCTGTATGAGGTGTCGGTTGGCCCCTCCTGGGAGGTGTCTCCCAATTAGACTACTCAGGTGTCAGGGACCCACTTGAGGAGGCAGTCTGTCCATTCTCAGGTCCCAAACTACATGCTGGGAGAACCACTACTCTCTTCAAAGCTGTCAGACAGGGACATTTAAGTCTGCAGAAGTTTCTGCTGCCGTTTGTTCAACTATGCCCTGCCCCCAGTACTGGAGTCCAGGAAGGCAGGCAGGCCTCCTTGAGCTTTGGTGGGCTCCACCCAGTTCAGTCTTCCCGGCTGCTTTGTTTACCTACTCAAGCTTCAGCAATGGCGGATGCCCCTCCCTCAGCCTTGCTGACACTTGCGGCTTGATCTCAGACTGCTGTGTTAGCAGTGAGTGAGGCTCCGTGGGTGTGGGACTCTCCGAGCCAGGTGCGGGATATAATCTCCTGGTGTTCCGTTTGCTAAGACCATTGGAAAAGCGCAGTATTAGGGTGGGAGGGTCCCGATTTTCCAGGTACTATCTGTCATGGCTTCCCTTGGCTAGGAAAGGGAATTCCCCAACCCCTTGCACTTCCCAGGTGAGCAATGCCCCACGCTGCTCCTTGGGCTGCACCCACTGTGTGACAAGCCCCAGTGAGATGAACCCGGTACCTCTGTTGGAAATGCAGAAATCACCTGTCTTCTGCGTCGCTCACGCTGGGAGCTGTAGACTGGAGCTGTTCCTTTTTGGCCATCTTGGAACCTCGGTTCAAACCTGAGTTGTAATACTCACTCTTCCTGTTGCTGCCTATGTAATTTTGTAGAAGTTACCTAATTGCTTCCAAGCTTCTGTTGGATTTTTTGAGAACTGAATGACATAGTACATTTTGAATGCTTAATGTATTGCTTTGTGCATGGTATTATTTAATAAATATTAGCTTTGGTTATACTTGCAATGTTCTGTTATTTCTCTTTTTCACACATGTTGCTTGCAATCTATATGGCATCTATTTTAGCATTAAAGTAGAAAGTTTTAAGTAGAAAGGTTCTGTCATAAAGAAAAAAAGAATCTTAAGAAGATAAATCTAAGTGGAAATTTAAAGAAAATAAGGCTTTTTTAGATCTAGCCTGTAAACTCCTTTAGACTCTTGAATTTGATATTCTGGTAGCTCTTCCGAGTATTAGGAAAAAAAGTCCTTTAAGCTGCTCTAAAGTTGGGTCTGGAAGCAATACTAGAAAAAGTAGAAACTGGAAAAATTTCACATCTTTAGATCAATGATGTCCAAAGTGAAGAGTATACTATAACCAAGTGGGTGAGAGAACATATTAGACCACCTACTTACATATATTTTATCTAAAAAATTTTAAAGTACAGGTTGATAGTAGTGTATGTAGGTAGCCTATTAGGTATAAATATATTGAGATAGTGACTCAGTTTTATTTTTAAAAAATAGACTATTAAACCACTGCTCTAGAGAATGGCTGTATTAAGCCAAAGTTTTAGTATAAACAAAGTTTAGATATTTGTTGTTCATATATTTTAGATAACACCCAGTTCTGTACATTTATCAGCTCTTTGCTTTCCTGTAATGTGCCATTTGTGATAAGGGGGAATAGGAACTTTTCTCTGAATCCTTTTCCATAGAAGGTGCTTTTAAAGATGCCTCTTTCAGTCCTTGCTAGGTAAGGGAATTAGAACCATTAGAATTGCTTTACAAAAATTGAGGAAAAGATTATTTGTTTAGCTATTTGTTTTTAGTAAATTGCATCCTTTGCATTAAGATAAAGCAGTTGGCCGGGCGCGGTGGCTCACGCCTGTAATCCCAGCACTTTGGGAGGCCAAGGCAGGCGGATCACGAGGTCAGGAGATCGAGACCATCCTGGCTAACACGGTGAAACCCCGTCTCTACTGAAAATACAAAAAATTAGCCGGGCGTGGTGGCGGGCACCTGTAATCCCAGCTACTTGGGAGGCTGAGGCAGGAGAATGGCGTGAACCCGGGAGGCGGAGCTTGCAGTGAGCAGAGATCGCGCCACTGCACTCCAGCCTGGGCGAAAGAGCGAGACTCTGTCTCAAAAAAAAAAAAAAAAAAAAAAAAAAAGATAAAGCAGTTAAATTAACACAAGGCCAATAGGGATTTTATTAAATTTCCTTTTTAAAACTGAGTTTTGACATAGAGATTTAAAATTAAACAGACCTGTATTCAAATCTTCATTCTTGATCTTGCTAGCTGTGATGTTTCTTTGTGTGTAAAAAGTTAGGGGTATAATTATAGTAGCCTTTTCCTGCTACCACCTGGCATTTAGCAGACCAGTTCTCAGTGAATGTGAGCGTTGATTATTTTTAAGGTGGTAGAGAGCTGATGAAAAGAGCAAGTAAGCCTGGGTGCAGTGACTCACACCTGTAATCCTGGTACTTTGGAAGGCCGAGGCAGGAGGATCACTTGAGCCTACGAGTTTGAGACCAGCCTAGGCAATGTAGCGAGACCTCATCTCTGCAAAAAAATAAAAAATTAGCTGGATGTGATAGTGTGTGCCTGTATGCCCAGGTACTTAGGTGGCTGAGGTGGGAAAATCACCTGAGCACAGGAAGTTGAGGAAGCAGTGAGCTGTGATTGTGCTACTGTACTTCATCCTAGGCAACAGAGTGAAACACTGTCTAAAAGAAAAGAAGAAAAGAAATATATCTTATACCATAGGGCTTAACTTTCTTTAAATGTGTGTAAATTGAAAGTAATTCTGTGTTCTTTTAGACATGGGGAATTTATCTGCAAAGTTTGGATATGGAGTCATTGTATTTGTATTTAAATTGACGTTAGATGCATCAGTTTATTACCTATTACATAGTATTTGAAAATAATCATATTTATTTTGTCTTTTAGCAACAGATGAAATTTAGTCTTACACCGAGACAGACTATTCACCTAGTTAAATATGAAGGGTCTATGAAGGTCTCCATGACACCCTGTAACCAGCTGCAATTTGACATTAGACTTGATGTTCTGATTACTTATACTTTTTGTTTTAGTTCCTTTCCTGAGCCTGAATTGTACAAATATGTCCTAAAACACCAACTTATTAAGAGGCTTAATGCCTGTTAAATGCGTCAGTGCTCTTGGCAGCTTAGCATGAGTGCTTTCTTTGCATGGGAGGTTGCAGTTTAGAAGCAACTTTATGGATCATTTCCCAGGTTGATGTTACATATGTTCATTTTACAACCTGTGTGCATAATCTCTCAGGGTGAAGGTAATTAAGAGAAAGCATAATCTACAGAATTGAAGCCAAGTAATCTAAGATTCTGTTTTTAAACTCTTTGCTATATAACATTAGTTAAGTTGTTTACCCTCTTAATTTATCCATTTGTAAAATGATAGTTTTTGTTTTTAAAGTGCTCTATTACCCTTACTTTAAAAGTCCTGTCTACCATATATTTAAAACTATAAGTGGAAATAATGAAGAAACTCTGAACTTGCTTTTGCTTATATATGGATATATCATATTATATGCCTAAGATTGGAGATAAATTTTATAACCTGATTTTCTCATGGCAGTGTACAAATGAAATTATTCTGTAAGTTTTTCAAAACAGTAAAATCACTATTTTTCATCTTTTTGTGAGATGTACTTTTTTCATACCCACAGAAATTTGCAGAGGGCTTCTGCATACCACCCATCTTCCAATATTTCAGTATTTGGCTAGGTTCCCCTCATTTTGCTTAATTATTCATTTTGGTTGGAAAGTTTAACTGCCACTGAAACTTCAGATTCTATATCCTTACCACTTTCCTGATTTTTAAGTTTAACATTCAGTAATTATTTGATGTTTATTTTAGCTGCATAGGTTTAAGTAACACTAAAAGTATACCTGAATCTCTAGGTAGCATATTTACAAGCTTAGTTAGAAGTACCAAAAAGGGCTTAGAAAATAATTTAAAACTACAATAGTGATCTAAAGTTTTTAATGATTTTTCAATTATGAAAATGTTTTACTATTGTGCTTATCCCATGAAGATTTAAAAATTTAGTGGCCGATACTTGAAATTGTATAGGTAGATAGGATACAGCATATGTTATTTTCAGTGTATCTAAAACCATGAACTTGGGTCCTGTGTGAGTGCAAAGTGGATACTGAAAACTAGTTTAATTTCCTCAGATTCATCTGATAGGTTATATCCTACTCAAAAATGACAGGAAAGCCAAAGGCTACTATGTTAGCCATTTCTGCTGACTCTTATTGGTATCCTGTACCCTATACTTCTTAAACAGATTACATTTTTTCAGTATACTAGTAGATCTCAAAAGGAGATAGAAGAAGCAGGGTTATTTCTCCAGGGTAGAGTATTGTTTTGACTATTTCAATTTTTTCTTAATGTAAATTATAGAAAGTAAACTCAACAAAATTTTCTTTCAGAGGATGGGAAAGTGGTGGCTGTAGGTACTTGAAAGATAACATAAGAAAGCATTAAAGGGGGAGACTGGATTTTAAACATTGGAATGCAATCCTATTTAGATATTGTAACATAGCATTCTTGTAAAGAGAAAAGCCACTGCAAGTCTCTACAAAGTTGGCCACCATTCCAGGCTAAATTTTAGAAGTATGTAGAGATGAAGTAAAAATCTGAGACTTTTAGTAATAGCTCTTGAGATCTCAAGAAATGGAACAAGCTGAAGAAGTAAAACTATTGAAAAGCCAAGCCAACTTGTTGCTGAATTCCCTAAACCAAGAATAATTTCAGAAGCTTAATTTTTTTCCTACAAATAGTATAGAAGAATTAACATTACCATTAAATAGGGGTTGAGCACTATACCAGTCTGAAACCCTTGAGATTAAAACTAGCTAGAAGACAAGCTGCAGAAGACAAGACAGTTTATAATCCCTTCCTTCAGCCTCACCCAAGGTTTTGGAAATAATCTTATGACAGCTGAGAGTAAGCCAGGTGCAGTGGCATTCCCTGTAGATCCAGCTACTTGGGGGGCTGAGGTGGGAGCATTGCTTGAGCCCATGAGTTGAAGGCTGCAGTGCACTGTGATCATACTGTAAATAGCTACTACACTTCAGCTTGGGCATCATAGTGAAACCCCATCTCTAACAATAATAATAACATTTTAAAATAAATTATTAAAATTTCACATTTAGAATTATTTTTCTACTACAGTAATTGGTACCTCAGTCACTTAAAATGGTAACACTAGTTGAGAATTATACCTCCACAAATATATATCTAGATAATCCATTATGTTGTCTCTAGCAGATTTTTCTGAGGAAAACCAAAAGGAGGATTGGTAATTAAAAGTAGTTAATTTTTACATTCAAGAAAGGAAAGGACTATTCTTTGAACAAAGTCCCAAGTCATGAATAAGTAATCACCAGTAATTAGAAATCACTTTTGATCAGTACACATGATGTGAAAATCAGCCAATCAGTGACAGCCTCACTCCAGTGGCCATGCTTCTGAAAATCATCGAGTCAACAACAGCCTTACTCCAGTAACTATCTTCTGCAAATTAGCAAATCAACGATAGTCCTAGGCTTCTGAAAGTCAGCCAGCGACTACTCTTGTATGTTCTGCATACTGACTCATTATTTGTCATTAAAAATTCAATGGACAAAAGAACAAAGTATGTCTGATGTGGCTGCTTTAGAGGCCAGGATCTAAATGGACCCAAGATTCCTAGTTAGCATCTGATAGAACTTTTAGATAGAAAGTCAGCAAGGATATAAAAGATCTGAGTAACACAACCAACCTACAGAATCTAACTGGCATTTATAAAACCCGCTACCAAGCTGGGCGCGGTGGCTCACACCTGTAATCCCAGCACTTTGGGAGGCCAAGGCAGGTGGATCACAAGGTCTGGAGATTGAAATCATCCTGGCTAACACGGTGAAACCCCGTCTCTGCTAAATATATATATATATATATATATATATATATATATATATACACACACACATATACACACACACACATATATATATACACATATATATACACACATATATATACACATATATATACATGTATATATACATATATATATATACACATATATATATATATATATATATACATACACACACACACATATATATATACACACAAAAAATTAGCCTGGCATGGTGGCACACGCATGTAGTCGCAGCTACTCGGGAGGCTGAGGGAGGAGAATTGCTTGAACCTGGGAGGCTGAGGTTGCAGTGAGCTGAGATCGCACCACTGCACTCCAGCCTGGGCGACAGAGCAAGACTCCATCTCAAAAAAACAAAAGAAACAAAACAAAAACCACTCTACCCAACAAGAGTAGAATATGAGTGGAACATCACCAAGGTAGATCCCATCCTGGGCCATTAAACAAGCCTCAACATATTTAAAAGAATTGAAATCATATAGAGTATGTTGTCTGACCACAGTAGATTCAAAGTAGAAATCAGTAACAGACAACAGGGGAAAAATGATCCATGGGTCAAAGAGGAAGTCTCAAAGGAAATTTAAAAATACATACAACTGAATGAAAATAATATATATCAAAATATGTGGGAGGTAGTTAAACCTCCCACATGTGTGCTGACAGGGAAGTGTACAGCAGTAAGTGCTCACTTTTGAAATGAGGAAGGTTCTCAGATCAATAGTGTAAGTTTCTTTCTCAAGGAACTACTAAGTTTCTATGTAAGAGACTAGAAAAAGAAGAGAAAATAAACCCGAAGTAAGCATAAATAAATAAATAATGAAGACAAAAACAGAAATCGAAGAAATTGAAAATACAAAAACAACAGAGAAAAACCATGAAACAAAAGCTATTTTTGGAAAAAAAAATTAATAAAATTGGTAAACCTTTGACAAGACTGAAAAATCTAAGAAGGGAAGGCCTGAATCACCAATATCAGAAATGGAATAGTGGATATCAGTACAGATCCTGCAGCCATTAAAAAGTTAACAAGAAAACACTATAAACAACTTGATACCCATAATTTAGAAGAAATGAATCTCAATTCTTTGAAAACCACAGACTACCAAAATTCAACCAAGGTGAAATAGACAATCTGAATAGCTATTTAACCATTGAAGAAATTAAAAGCTCCTGAAAAAGAAATCACCGTGTCAAGATATTTCTTCTTTTTTAAAAAAGATATTAATACATGTTTAACAACATTCATTTTATCCTTTCCATTTTGGCATGGCACATGATCTTCATCTGGATTTATATTTTATGTGATAAATGATTTTTTAATTTAAGTTCAAGGGTACAAGTGCAAGTTTGTTACGTAGGTAAACTTGTGTGGTGGGGGTTTTTGTATAGATTATTTCATCACCCAGGTATTAAGCCTAGTATTCATTAGTTGTCTTTCTTGATTATCTCCCTCCTTCCACCCTCCGCCTCCACCCTCCAAAAGGCCCCAGTATGTTGTTTCCCTCTATGTGTCCTTGTGCTCTCATCATTTAGCTCCCACTTATAAGTGAGAACATGTGGTATTTGGTTTTCTGTTCTTGTGTTAGTTTAGTAAGGATAATGGCCTCCTGCTCCATCCATGTCCCTGCAAAGGACATAATCTCATTCTTTTTTATGACTGTATAGTATTCCATGGTGTATATGTACACCATGGAAAGAATGAGATAAAAAAGAATGAGATCCTATACACCATGAAATACCAATACTCTTTATCCAGTCTATCACTGATGGGCATTTAGGTTCATTCCATGTGTTTGCTTTTGTGAATAGTGCTGCAGTGAACATATGCGTGCATGCGTCTTTATAACAGAATGATTTATATTCCTCCGGGTATATACTCAGTAATGGGTTTGCTGAGTCAAATGGTATTTCTGTCTTTAGGTCTTTGAGGATTCACCACACTATCTTCTACAATGGTGGAACTAATTTACACTCCCATCAACAGTGTATAAGCGTTCGTTTGTCTCCATAACCTCACCAGCATCTGTTATTTTTTGACTTTTTAATAACAGCCATTCTGACTGGTGTGAGATGGTATCTCATTGTGGTTTCAATTTGCATATCTCTAATGTAATGATCAGTGATGTTTAGCTTTTTTCCATATTATTTTTGGCCACATATATGTCTTCTTCTGGGAAGTAACTGTTCATGTTCTTTGCCCACTTTTTAATGAGGTTGTTTTTTTCTTATAAATTTGTTTAAGTTCTTTATAGATGCTGGATATTAGACGTTTGTCAGATGCATAGTTTGCACAAATTTTCTCCCATTCTATAGGTTGTCTATTTAATCTGCTGATAGTTTGTTTTGCCGGGCAGAAGCTCTTTAGTTTAATTAGATCCCATTTGTTGATTTTTGCTTTTCTTGCAATTGTTTTTGGCATCTTTGTCATGAAATATTTACCTGTGCCTACACCGCAAATGGTATTGCCTAGGTTATCTTCCAGGGTTTTTGCAGTTTTACGTTTTGCATTTAAGTCTTTAATCCATCTTGAGTTGATTTTTGTATGTGGTATAAGGAAGGCATCCAGTATCAATCTTGTGCATATGGCTAGCCAGTTATCCCAGCCAAGATATTTCACTAGTGAATTTTACCACACATTTTAGGAGAAATTAACTTCAAGTTCACAAAATCTCTTCCAGAAAAGAGAAGAGGAGGGAACACTTCCTGACTGATTTTATGAAGCTAATGTTATTACTCTAAAACAGACAGATTGTACAGAAAAATAAAACTATAGACCATTATTTCTCACAAATGTACATGTAAACATTTTCAGTAAGAATCATAATGCAGAAATCCTCAACAAGAATCATAGAATTAGGGTCAGGCGCAGTGGCTGATGCCTGTAATTCCAACACTTAGGAAGGCAGAGGCAGGCAGATTTCTTGAGCCCAGGAGTTTGAAACCAGCCTGGGCAATATGGCGAAATCCCATCTCTGCAAAAATTAGCTGGACGTGGTGGCACACACCTGTAGTCCCAGCTCCTTGGCAGGGCTGAGGTGATAGAATTTGGGCCGGGGAGGTCGAATCTGCAGTGAGCTGAGATCATGCCACTTGCACTGCAGCCAGGGTGACAGAGTGAGACCTTGTCTCAAAAAAATAAAGAAGCATAGAATTAGAAGGAATTACAATCAATATTCCTCCTCTTCAAGATTAATAAAGATTGCAACTTTAATGGCAACCTCAATTCTGTGCTGTTTTAGTTACTCCTCCTATAGTCTGAAAATGAATTGATTTAAGGCAAATTCAGTAGGTTTTTACAGTTTCATTTGTCATCAGTGTTTTTCAAATATAAGTACTTTTGCAAATTGGACCAAATTCTTGGTGCAATTTAAAAACTTGGGCCTTCTATCATTTGCCTATTTTGAGAAAGGCTATTTCCCTTTTCTTTGATTTTCTATTTTTTAGAGTGTTGAACCTACTTAATCTGAAGTTTACCTCCCTTTTAAAGGAAGTGTCTAGAAGTGTTTCTGGCAATGTGTTCATAATTAGGTTAAATTTTCCTCTTGATAACCTGGTGGCTGTAGAACTGAAATCACTGTGAGTTAAAATAATCTTAGTGTGTCTGTGTCCCCTTGGCATTTGTAAATGAGTTCCTTGAAATTTTGTATTGGTATGTTTTAAAACATCAGTACTTTTATTTCAAAGTAAAATATGCCATAATATGTTTTATAGGATGAAGTGTTTGTTTTTTATTTATACACTATAATTACGTGTTGTATCACCTTCTTTGAAAAGACATATTTTAAAATAATATCTCAATTTTAGGCAAAGCACATTCCTAGAAGTTTAAAATTAACATTTTCTGTCTAAATTAAGGAGTTAATTTTCTGTGAAAATAAAATGTTTGTGGGGGGTGAGTCTTATCACATATCACAGATCATACTTGTTTTAAAGGAAGAAAATGAAAGTCATTTTTAAATTTAGTTGGTGACATAAGCAGAAAGCATGTTTACTTTTTGATACTTAATAACACTTGAGGTAATAATAAACAATGATAATTTCCTAATCTTTTTTGCATTGTTGTAATTAAGCTTACACTTGGAGTTTCCAAGGCCAACATGTAAGGAATTGCTCTTTAATTAGGTTTCCAACAGTTAGAATAAGCAAAAGGATGGCTCATCTGACATTGCAGTGTGTCCTGATAGAGTTCCCTTAGTTATGGTTAATGCAGATAAAGAAAACAGCAAGCATACTTTCACAATTTTATATTTTCTGTATAAATGAGAATTCTTATTTTTAGAGAAGTATATTGAAAAGTAATAACACAAATTAAATAAATGGAATAGACTATAAATTTAGGGCCATTTAAAAAGGATTACATGTATGCCAAGGTACAAATTATCTTTCATACTCAATTTCAGCTGTTACTCATCACTGCTTAACCTACTCTTGAGTAATAACAACATTCTTTAAGCTTTAAAACATTCTCTAATGTGTTTTTAATATAGACAGAATACCCATCATTAGCTTTATGGCAAAAGCCCTTGCAATCATTTATTTCCCTTAATCACGTAAGCATCAAAAATTTATTGATCACCTGGTCTAATTATATGTAGTGTTGTAAGTATGTCTCAGGATTCATTCAACAAACATTTGTCGAGCATTTATTATGTAACAAGAAAAATGTATGTCCCCCCCCCAAAAAAAATGTATGTTCCCTTTCTTTAATGTTTACTGTGAATAGTGAAGATATAGATATACATAGAAAGACTAATAATTCATGGAAGGAAATTATCAGTGTTGACTCTCAATTTGGGGAAGAGTTTTGAAGAGAAAAAAGATCACTTTTGGTTTGCAGTGGATATTGATAGTCTCAAAGGTGATGGAATCTCTGTGTAAAGATGATTTTGATAAAGGAAGGATTTAGGGACTACATTATGGTAGAGAACCGAGAGTGAAATTATAGGAATGGGAAAGAATATGTCTCCTATTCTTTTTCAGGAGAAGTGACTATGTCAGTTTGTTTGGAGTGCAAAGTTCATCACAGTAGATGAATGAATGGTTAGAAAAGAAAGGTATTAGGGACTGGATATTGTAGGACTATGTTTGGATCATATAGTGGGAATGAAATATAAAAGCTGAGTTCGTTTGCCTTTTTTTTTTTTTTTTTTTTTTAAGATGGAATCTTGCTCTGTCACCAAGGCTAGAGTGCAGTGGCGCGATCTTGGCTCACTGCAACCTTCACCTCCTAGGTTCAAGCGATTCTCCTGCCTCAGCCTCCTGAGTAGCTGGGATTAAAGGTGCCCGCCACTGTGCCCGGCTAATTTTTGTATTTTTAGTAGAAATGGGGTTTCACCATCTTGGCCAGGTTGTTCTCGAACTCCTGACCTCATGATCTGCCCACTTTGGCTCCACAAAGTGCTGGGATTACAGGCGTGAGCCACCACTCCTGGCCTCTTTTGACTTTGAAAAATTATTTCATTACATATGTTCATTTTAGAAAGATTAGAATATACTGATGAAGAAAAAGTAGAAAATAATAACACAAAATCAAAGTTTTTAGAAATGCTTATTTGGTGTTATCCAGGATGGATGAAATAAAAGGATGACTGAAGGTGGGAGGCCAGTTAGGAGGCTGTTTTGGTAGTCTTCTTTCCCTCTTCCCCATCCTGTACTCTTCTCTTTTATCAAATGGTTGTACTGGTGGCAAAAGCTTGAAATTTGAGGAGTCAGAGCCAAAAGAAGGATGCAGCCTGAATAGTAACTCTGGGATCAGGTTACACAGTTGAAATAATAGACATTACACATTACTTTTCTTTCCTGGGTCTTGAGGAAGTTCTTTAGTGAGGGCTCAAGAAATTTGGAAATATTTGTAGATGGATGAAGTAAGTTCAACTTTGGTGATGGCTTTATGCAGTTTGATAAGTGCACATTTCTCCGAGTACAAACTTATGGGAACATTATTGGTGGTGAGAAGGAGGAATCTGGAGATTTGTACTAATGAGTTAGTGGCATTTTTGTAGAGGGAGATTCACATCTCTGAATTCTTCAACCATCCCAAAATTGAGCATGTCACGGAATCTTTCTGGCTAACAGTAAGCTGTAGGTTGTTACATCCTTTAATGCCATATGTCTGCAAAGGATCTTATCTCATCTATATATACTCTTGAATGACATGAACTGGCACATTTATGACTAGTGCAAAGGGACTAACTCGCATTCGCATGCAAATTTCTGTGGCTGGAAAGGTCAGCCCGACTGGCTTGTGCAGCAACCTTTGCCATTGCCCTTGTTTGATAATGCTGTGAATTTCCCATGATTTTCCTAAGTGTAGCTTGGAGGTTCCACTCAAGATCAAGCCTGAGATTCCCCATGAACTCTTCAGGACTATGGCAGGTCTAATATCTTCAATTTGGACATTATCAACTGCCTTGCTGATGCCTTGATTGAGGCTGAGTGATACCAGTGTGTATCTGCTGGATACAAATATCACTTCTGTCATTCCGATGGCCATGTGTATCTCTTGCTTAGGTAGCATTTCTGGCCTGAACCAGTGATAGGCTATATACCACCAGAGTATCCTCCAGAAATTCTTCTCCTTACTTCTGTGACCCTACCCCATCCCCGTCATTCTACTTCTACTACTTTGGGGAACTGTGGCTCCACCATAACCTTGATGTAAGAGCAGGTGCTAGCACCCCATTGAATATTTCCACTTAGATCATATCAGAGACTGTACCTGAATTATATCATCCTGTTGTTCTCATGGCCAGATATGGGGGCAGCCAGCCCAAGCTAGGATCCCAGTGGTTTCTTTAGCTTTATACCAAGCTTGAATGAACTAGAGATGTTGCCCAAGAATTCTAAGCCTCTGGAGACTAAACTGCCTGTCTAAATCCTTATAGGAATACAGACTCATTCTTAGGAGTTAGAGTTTTACATCCTTCAGGATATACATTGGAAAAGAACAATTGCTCTGCCAGGAGGGCTGCTGCTTTTTGATTGAGAAAGATGATGCGGCCATGGAAAGCACATGGACCACATCAACTTGGGGTCAGGGTTATCAGAGGGCAGGCAGTTCCAGTGCTACCACCTGAGCACTCTTCTTCAGAAGAAAAAGAAAGCACTCCAGCTTAATCCTTGTATTTTAACTATTCCCAATTTAAAGAGTTACACTGCAGCCTTTTGCAGCCGCTTCCTTATCCCCTGAAGGGGAATGGGATAAGGAAAACATTCTCCTTTCCCTGAAGAGTTTCCCTTGAAAATTGAAGAGAGAAAAATTTTAAGTCATCAGATAAAGGCAAGGGCAGTTCATCCGTATTACTCTTTGAGGCACGGATATATCTCAATTAAAATCTGTGTTAATTTTCCCACAGTTCAGTTGTATTGACCTTTTTCATTCAAAAGGTCCAGCCTGGGGCTGCATGCCAGCCAACTTGGTGCTTTCTGTAAAAGCCATGATGTTTTCTCTCAGCCTAAGGAAATTCTTTGTGCTGTTTTATAGCTTTACTGCCAGAGTAAGTTATAATTGCCATTGAATCAATATATATAGCTTAATAAGTTTGCTGCTTTACCCAGTTTAATCTTGTCTCATTTTCAAAGTTTGCCAAGAGTTACCCTAGAGAGACAAATATTCTTTCTGTGTCTTCTATCATTCTGTTGACCTTCATAGTTGATTTGGCTGATCTTTCTAAACAAAGGAAGACCAATTAATGGTTAAAGGTAGAAGTATCTGGACCTCTACTCCAAATAAAAGCTTTCAAGTTACATTTGGAGATGATACTCTTGAATATTTTTTAACCATACTGTGTCTCTTAAACAAATGCTGCTGCTTACCCATAACATGCTAATTAATACCTTATATATCTCATTCCTGATAATGAAAAGTTACTAGTACCATGGTGTTGGGAGGTTCATTCCCGTGGGCATTATATGAGGCTAGAAGAAAACAAAGACATGACAAATCTATAGACTTATGGTTCAGGCAGATACTTTCTTTAGTTTTTTTCTCAGTCATTATGAATCTTGCATTCTAGACAAATGTAGATGTATTTCTCTCAGAGTAAAGAATGGAAGAAACCTGAAGGTAGCTCTCTGTTGACAGAGAAAGAAGGAATTACCTATCTGGAAATAATCTGTTCAGTATAGTTTTATTGTCAGAGTAAGTTAAAATGAATGATTCTGCCAAAATGTCAAGAATGGGTCACCTAGGCATCCTTTCCAGAAAAGGGGCATCTAGTCAGTCATCCTTTCCAAGCTATGCTTTTGTTACTTAAGTATTCACTGAAATGTAAATACCATGTGTTTTATCATTTTTTATACTCTGAAAGTATCATTTTACTAATATGTTTTTGAAATAGGTACTATATTTTCTATTGCTCATATTATCATAAGTCTTAGAACTTTATCTATTCAAGGTAATAAAAATTTCAACTTTGGTCTGCCCAGACTGTAGAAAACCAAGCATTGACACACACATAAAAATATGTATATACACATACAGAACATTTACTTTATCAAAAAGAAGAGTGCATAGGGACTTCAGATCACTGTATTGTGAAGGGACTTATCCGCATCTTTGATAATTTAGGATAGAGTATCTTAAAATAACCTTTTTATGTTCTAGACACCAAACTGTGCTGGACTGGTAACATATTAAGAATATGCTTAAAACATTCTCTCAATGGAAATATTACCTTTTTAAAATATTTTAAATTTCAAGACGGTAGAAGTCCATTTTCTTGTACTGTTGAGTGAGATTGAAAATAAGACTAGAGAATTGAGTGGAAGAAATAATTTCATTTGAGCCATTCCATTTCACGTCTTTCCTAAATGGTCAGTTCTTTTGGTTCTGGTTCTATTGAAGTCCTCATGATGAGAAACAGGGTTAGTAAAGCCAAAAGCATGACCTGGGAACAATAATGGGTTATTGATTCTGCCAGAAGTCCACCTACCAGTGGCCCTGGCACTGTGAGAATAGAGCAGGCACATGTATCCAAAAAAGTTCCCTTTTGGCCGAGTGTGGTGGCTCACGCCTGTAATCTCAGCACTTTGGGAGGCCTAGGAGGGCAGATCATGAGGTCAGGAGTTCGAGACCAGCCTGGCCAACATGGTGAAACCCTGTGTCTACTAAAAATAGAAAAAATTAGCCAGGCGTGTTGGCACATGCCTGTAATCCCAGCTACTTGGGGGGCTGAGGCAGGCAATTGCTTCAGCCCGGGAGGCAGAGGTTGCAGTGAGCTGAGACCACGCCACTGCACTCTAGCCTGGGCAACAGGGCGAGACTCTGTCTCAGAAAAAAAAAAAAAAAGTTTCCTTTTATGAAAGCTGTATTTCAGTATTGACAATTGCAGTTCCCTTTTGGGTTTCTGTGTCAAGAAGACTTTTTTTTCTACCACGTTTCCTCATCCTGCAGACTGCACTAAACTGTGTCTCCACCTTCACCCCCTCAGAATATACCCAAGTGTAGTATTCATGGTAGTCCCATATATCAGTTCTTTTTTCAGTCACATCAAAGTTATGCAACTGGTGGGTGCCCCATCCTATGAGTTAAGAATTTAAGAACTGTGAATAGAAAAGAATATTGCGACTGGTGGGTGACACAGTAAATAAGTAAGCTGAGAATAGGGGCAGGGGAATCTACTTTGTAAGTCGTGTTAATTGTGATGATTCTGGGAGGCAGAATTGCTGCTGATGGAGAACCACTACTTTATTTATTTACTTTTTTCAGCTTTTATTTTAGCTTCAAGGGATACATGTGCAGATTGTTACATGAGTAAATTGTGCAATGCTGAGGTGTAATGTACAAATGGTCTCATCACCCAGGTAGTGAACATAGTACCCAATAAGTAGTTTTTTGGCCATCCTCCCCTTCGCACCCTCCCCCTTCTAGTAGTCCTTAGTGTCTGTTGTTCCCATCTTTATGCCCATGTGTACTCAGTGTTTAGCTCCTGATTATAAGTGAGAACATGTGGTATTTGGTTTTCTGTTCCCGTGTTAATTTGCTTAGGATAATGGCCTCTAGCTGCATCCATGTTGCTTCAAAAGGACATGATTTCAGAGAACCACTGCTTTAAATCACATAAATTATTTACGGAAACATACTTCTTGTAATGCAATTAGTCTTATTTTGCCACAGTGGAGTTACTTATGTGTGTAAATAAAATTTAGAGCCAGGGTGAACAAACAAGGCCCTGAGGTCAAATCTGGCCTGCCTTGTGTTTTGTAATAAAGTTTGTCTCTGTTTGCAGATGACATGATCGTATATTTAGAAAAACCCATTGTCTCAGCCCAAAATCTCCTTAAGCTGATAAGCAACTTCAGCAAAGTCTCAGGATACAAAATCAATGTGCAAAAATCACAAGCATTCCTATGCACCAAAAACAGAGAGCCAAATCATGAGTGAACTCCCATTCACAATTGCTATAAAGAGAATAAAATACCTAGGAATAAAACTTACAGGGATGTGAAGGACCTCTTCAAGGAGAACTAGAAACCACTGCTCAAGGAAATAAGAGAGGACACAAACAAATGGAAAGACATTCCATGCTCATGGATAGGAAGAATCAGTATCGTGAAAATGGCCATACTGCCTAAAGTAATTTATAGATTCAATGTTATCCCCATCAAGCTACCATTGCCTTTCTTCACAGAATTGGAAAAAATTACTTTAAACTTCATATGGAACCAAAAAAGAGCCCACATAGCCAAGACAATCCTAAGCAAAGAGAACAAAGCTGGAGGCATCATGCTACCTTACTTCAAACTATACTACAAGGCTACAGTAACGAAAACAGCATGGTACTGGTACCAAAACAGATACATAGACCAATGGAACAGAACAGAGGCCTCAGAAATAACACCACACATCTACAAACATCTGATCTTTGACAAACCTGACAAAAGCAATGGGGGAAAGATTCCGTATTTAATAAATGGTGTTGGGAAAACTGGCTAGCCATAAGCAGAAAACTGAAACTGAACCCCTTCCTTACACCTTATACAAAAATTAACTCATGATGGATTAAAGACTTAAACATAAGACCTAAAACCATAAAAATCCTAGAAGAAAACCTAGGAAATAACATTCAGGAAATAGGGGTGGGCAAAGACTTCATGTCCAAAACACTGAAAGCAATGGCAACAAAAGCCAAAATTGACACATGGGATCTAATTAAACTAAAGAGCTTCTGCACAGAAAGAGACAGTATCATCAGAAGGAACAGGAAATCTACAGAATTGGAGAAAATTTTTGCAATCTATCCATCTGACAAAGGGCTAATATCCAGAATCTACAAAGAACTTAAACAGATTTACAAGAAACAAACAATCCCATCAAAAAGTGGGCAAAGCATATGAACAGACACTTCTCAAAAGAAAGACATTTATGCAGCCAACAAACATATGAAAAAAATGCTCATCATCACTGGTCATTAGAGAAATGCAAATCAAAACCACAATGAGATAACAATCTCACACCATTTAGAATGGCGATCATTAAAAGGTCAGGAAACAACAGATGCTGGAGAGGATGTAGAGAAACAGGAAAGCTTTTGCACTGTTGGTGGGGGTATAAATTAGTTCAACCATTGTGGAAGACAGTGTGGTGATTCCTCAAGGATCTAGAACTAGAAATACCATTTGATCCAGCAATCCCATTACTCAGTATATACCCAAAGGATTATCAGTCATTCTGCTATAAAGACACATGCTCACGTATGTTTATTGCGGCACTATTCGCAATAGCAAAGACTTGGAACCAACCCAAATGTCCATCAGTGATAGACTGGATAAAGAAATGTGGCACGTATACACCACGGAATACTATTTAGCCATAAAAAAGGATGAGTTCATGTCCTTTGCAAGTACATGGATGAAGGTGGAAACCATCATTCTCAGCAAACTAACACAAGAACAGAAAACCAAACACCGCATGTTCTCACTCGTAAGTGGGAGTTGAACAGTGAGAACACAGGGACACAGGGAGGAGAACATCATACACTGGGATCTGTGAGGGGCTGGGGGGCTAGGAGAGGGATAACATTAGGAGAAATACCTAATGTAGATGGTGGGTTGTTGGGTGCAGCAAACCACTATGGCACGTGTATACCTATGTAACAAAACTGCACGTTCTGCACATGTACTCCAGAACTTAAAGTATAATAAAAAAAGAAATAAAAATGAAGTTTGATATTATCATTTACATATCATCTGTAGTTACTTTTGTGCTACAGAGTCAGAGATGAGTAATTCCTGTAGACATAAGTACTGGCCACCAAGCTTGAAATATTTACTATCTGGCTCTTTACCACAAAAGTTTTTCAACATATTAGAGTGTTTTAGAGTTTGACAGTGCATCCTTTGCTATGCACTGAGTCGTGAGCTGTAGTGAGTGCTTAAACTTAAAATTTATGTTTGGTTTTATGTGAAAGCTTTGATGAAAAAAGATTTCAATTTGCACAAGTATGTTAATTAGATATGAAATTAACAGTTATTGCATATATTTGTGCTGGCTGCCATATGGATATACAATATAGTACATTAATTAAAAGAGCAGAAACTTTGGAGCCAGACTGCTTTGGTTCAAATCCTGGCTCTACTTTTCTGTCATCTAAGGCAAGTCACTTATCCTTTGTGTGCCCCAGTTCTCTTAACCATAAAATGAGGATAATATTAAAACTTGCAAGGACTAAATAAATTAGCGTATGCAAAGCATGTAGAAAATGTTTTCCATGTAATAAACACTAATTATTACTGTGATAACCGAAGGGTTCCAAAATCAACTCAATTTTTGGCCTCTTTAATTCATTACATAGCAATGAAGTACAAAGGTGTGAATGTGTAATAGTTGTTTTCAGAGTAAAATGGGGGAAAATGATTTCACTTAATTTGTTTCTTTCCCTAATGCTAGCATCTCCAGTGGCACAGAATATACCTTTTCTGTTCTGGTCCGCAAAATTGTACAGAAATGAATGAATGGGGGGAAAGCTGTTGAATTGGCATCTACCCAGGCTACACATTTAACTCCAGCCAGAGATTAAAGTCACAGAAAAAAATGTTGTTACCCCAGGTCTTGCCACTAGTAGAAAACATGACCTCTAAAAAAAATTATGCCTTTTTCAAAATATTTATTACTTTCAATGCCTTCCCTGGGATGGTTACTCCAGCTCCTGCAAAGCTCTGCCTTGTAGTAATAAGGGGTATCCATCAGAGTTTGTGTGCCCCAGCAAGTCTCCTCTTCTTGCTTCTTAGAAATGCACATTTTAGTATAATTTTCTATTTATGGTATATCATTGTTCCCAAAACACAAAGATGATTATAAATCTTTTTAATCTCATATCATATCTAACAGTTATCGTTTCCTTATTTTTCTTTTTGGAAAACCACAAACAAGATTGGTAAATCTCAAGATAAAATTTTTATTCCCATTTTTTTCCCCTGAGACATACTGGTTCTGTTAGATCTGTCACATATATTATGATTGATCAGCTTGCAACTAATTATTGAACTCCTTTGTATGCAGTTAATATTTACCATTTAGGATATCAGCTACTCTACCAGGTGCTTTGCATGTGTTGCTTTGTTTAATCCTCACAGCAACCCATAAGATACAACTATTATTATCACCATTTTACAGTTGTGTATAGTGAAACACAGAGAAGACAAGTAACTTTTTCAGCTCACACATCTGGCAAAGTAGGCTGCCAGGGTTAAACTTGACTGTGTCTGATTCTGATATTTTCAATGACTCTTATTCTGCTTCCTGTACTCTTTTTCCTACTTGTTTGAAACACCTCAGATCCCCTGGGCAGAGTAGATAGATGTAATTCAGGGACTCTGGTTGGATTTCAGGCAGCCCAAGTGCCTTGGAAAGCATTTTCCTGGCTTAGAGATGTCAACTTCAGAGATGTGAAATATATGTAAAATTAGAGGAGAAAAAAACTTATTTAATATTTTTAGAATTCTCTAGATCCTATGGATAGGAAAATTGTTTTAAAAGTAGTATACCTGAATAAGGTGGGCCACCCTGAACACATACCAAGGATTAGCTGTCTTCTAGTTCCCAAATACAATACAACTCCCCCCTGCCCGAAAAAAGTTATTTTATAATATCATGCTATGTATCTTCTTGAGTATTGTGATCATTTTCTCCTAGAATATCAAATATTTGCCATAACTTTAATAATTCTTTTTAAAAGGACAGAGAGCATTTGTTATTGAGTATGCAGGCAGTATGCTTTGAAGATAGAGGTCACATTTAGTGAGGGATTCGTGGTTTAATAGATTGGAAGAAGGGATTATTAGATGGGATGGGTTTGGTGGAATATGTGAGTTTTCTAAAGTCATTAGGTGTTTTATGCATGAGAACATAAAAGAGCTGGGGCTGGAATCAATTTTATTCTAATCTAACAGATGTCTTCTACTCTTAAGACACCTGTGTAATGAAACGTGGCTTTCCCCATATCTCCCTACTTTCACTCCACTTAATTAATATACGTGGCTGTACATTGACATACTATATCATCTATTCCTAATAGAGGGGTTTTGCTTCCTTAGATTTTAATTATCAATAACTTCATTGCAGTATTCTCTGCTTTCTTGGTTTCCAGCTAATTGCCCCACTTGTTTTTTGTTTGACTAGTTACTTTCTTCTTCATTTATGACCCCTGTCTGTAGCTTATCTTGGCTTCTACTTTCTCTTATGTTCTCCCCTGAATTCCTTTACGTATGTTAATATTAAGCTGATTGTCATAATATTTATAAGGTTTTCACTGTCTGGACTTGACGCAGTTTGGAATTTTCCTAGCACATCTGAAGTTAAATTTTAAATACCAAACAAAGTTGTGCTGGTTTGTATAGCTTAAACACCAGCATTTTAAATAAATGCAAAATGCAATAAATGTTTTCAGACAGGTAATTGTTGATTTGTTGTATAACATTGTATTAATAATTTCTCATTCCTGATTAGGTTAAATTTCTTTACAATTCATTCCAAAAAATACAAAGATATCTCAGTGATACTTACAGTTGGTGAATCCTTTACATTTTTTTTTTTTTTTTTTTGAGACAGGTTCTGGTTCTGTTACCCAGTCTGGAGTGCAGTGGCAATACCTTGCTCACTGCAGCCTTGACCTCCCGGCCTCAAGTGATATTCCCACCTCAGTTCCTCAAGTAGCTGGGACCACAGGCACATACATGCCACCACATCCAGCTAATTTTTGTAGAAATTAGGTTTTACCACGTTGCCCAGGCTAATACTTTACTTTTTATTGAGTCTTTTTTCTGTGGTGTCAAGCTTTTGGTAATTTCATTGTTGTTAGCTATTTGTATCACCAATAGAAGTTAAGCAGAGAGCAAGAGAAGAAATTCCAATTTGCTGTTTGTCAGTAACTGGAGAGGAAGTGAGGGGTGGGAGACGGAGAAAGATCTGGCTGGAGAGCTGTAGTTTCACCTACAAAGAGTTTTTTTGTTTGTTTGTTTTAATTTCGTTTTTTCTTTTAATTTGGGGAGCTTGTTGGATGCTATAGGGAGGAAAGGTGGAGGAGAACTTCTGGTGGTAATTGTTATTCACCCTGCTCTGCTTTAGTCTCTGATAGAATTAGTGTCATGGTTGATGTTTTGTGGCATTTTTTAAGACTGCATAATCCAGCAACTTATGATTCCCTGTTAGGCAAGGAACCATAGCTTTCAGTGTATACTTACAGAGTGACTGAGACAGTATCACTTCTTCTCTTTATGCCTTATATTCTTCATTTATAAAATGGAGATTATAGACTTGTCCTTGAATACCTATTGAAGTAATTGCAAAAATTCCATATGTATTTGAGTCTTTGCGAGGCCTTGAACGTAGAGTTTAATTAAACAAGACCGTACTAAGAGTCTTTTGTATTTATGTGCAAGAGTTTTTTCCTGATGGCACTATTGATCATGTTGGGAAAGCAAGGCCTGGTTAGTGGATTTATTGTTTAGGTGTTTTACAGTTATGATAGTTTTCATTTGCTATTGGCCACAGGTTTGAAAAGAGTATGAAACAACTATGTAGAAAATTTTCTAGCATCTCCCAGTCCCAGAAAAGCTTCATCAGCCTTCAAGAGTCTATGAAGTATGACTATAATGTAATGTGCCTGATATTTTTTATTGTGGTAAAACATAATATTTATCATTATACTCTGTGTATACATATTGTATACTGATAAGTGTATAATTACACTGATAAGTGTATAATTCAGTGACACTAAATATGTTAACAGTGTTGTATAACCATTACCACTATCTATATCCAACACTTTATCATTATCCCCAACAAAAACTATGCCCATTAAACAATAACTCCCACCCTTCTACCTCTCCCCACAGCCCCTGGTAACCTACTCTACTTTGTCTTTATGAATTTGCCTATTCTAAGTACTTCATATAGGTACAATTATACATTATTTTCCTTCTATATCTGCCTTATTTCACTAAGCATAATGTTTTCCAGGTCCATCCATGTTGTGGCATATGTCAAAATTTAATTTCTTTTTATGACTGAATATTATTCTGTTATATGTGTAGGTCACATTTGGGTTAGCCATTTATCTCATGCCTTATATTTTAATTTATAAAATGGTTTCATAATAAAAGGCTGTGATTTAATATCTAAATAAAGGATAAAGGAAGAGTATATTTTGTTAGAGGGGAAATGAATTATGGAAGATGAATGAGTAGTAATATGGCTTAGCAGTTTTAAATGAGGATAATTATGGTCTAAGTTATAGGGGTTGTTTTGAGGATTAAAGAGTTAGTATATGTGTCTTAACAACAATGTAGTATTATAACAGTATAAGTGCTATTTGGCTGTTTGCTATCATTGTTATTAGTTGATGAGAGCTTCGTAGTAGAGATCACAAATGAGGCAGACCTTAATGCAACTCTGCAGGATTTGATTAGAAAAGGAATTTTAAGGTAAATGTAGAGAGAAAGCAGATGGCATGTTTTTACAATAAGAAAGATGTCACACTGGTTAAACACATAGTTTTTGAGACCAACAGACCTGTGCTCCAGTCTCAGCATTGCCGTATATTTACTGTGTGACTTGGAATATAATCTTTCTAAGCTTTAATTGTAATCTATAATATGTGGATATGTGTTAATTCATTCTTGCATTGATATAAAGGAATACCTGAAACTGGGTAATTTATAAAGAAAGTACGTTTATTTTGTCACATGATCCGGGAGGCTGTACATGAAGCATAGCACCATCATCTGCTTCTGGTGAGGACCCCAGGAAGCTTTCAGTCATGGCAGAAGGTGAAGGGGAGCCAGCGCATCACATGATGAAAGAGAGCAAGCAGGGTGGAGAGGCACCACACTCTTTCACACAGCCAGATCTGTGAACCTAGATGAGTGAGAAATCACTGATCACCAAAGGGATGGTGCTAAGCCATTTATGAGGGTCTGCCCCCCATGACCCAGTACCTCCCACTAGGCCCCACCCCAACACTGGAGATTATATTTTAACATGAGATTTGGAGGGAACAAACATATAAACCGTATCAGGATAATAATGATAACATCAAAGTATTATTATGAGGATTAAAATGAGTAAGACACTTGGCATGTTACCTGGCAATGACAAAAAACTTTCAAACAGTGATAGCCTCTATTAATTTAATACTTTTGGTGGTTACCATTTTTTATCATTGTTAGCATTATCCACATTGGCTCATAGTGGGTGACACCTTTGGAAAGGTATTAGGGAAATAAAGAAAGAGGAGTTGTAAGTGATTATGGCATACCTTTAAAATAGGAGTGTGCACTTGAATTTAGGCAGTGGGATGCCACTAAAGTTTTATTTGAGAGAAAGACTGAGTGTGTGTGTGTATTTGTGTGTTTGTGTAAGTGTGTGTACATGTTTGTGTATTTTGGCAGGAACATTAATAAGAAGAGGGGCCTTGCTGAAAGCAGTGATTTGTAAAGATCTGTTTACACTATGCAGATAATTTGGGATTTGGAAAAGAATAGATAAACAAAAGGGAACAAAATTGCTTATACAATTTTTAACAGTTAGAAGGAAATTAGTAAGAGAAAAAAATCTGAAGAAAAATGTTTACATGTGTTGGGTATTTAATTGTATGCCAGGCACTTTGCTAACCTCTCTATGTTGATTACTACCATTTCATGTTCACAGTAACCTTATAATGGAAGATTCTATTATTGTCTCCATTTTATAGATGAGAAATCAAGGACATAAAGTGGTTACGGTCACACAGATAGTGTGGCAGAGACAGCTAGTGTCCCCAAATCCTTTCTCACCTTTTCCCCATACTAACAACATTTTCATCTGGGCATGTGATGACTCCAAGTGAAAAACCACATTTCTTAATCTCCTTTGTAGTGAAGTATGACTGTGTTGTGCACCCCACCCAGCCCTCAAAAAAAGAGTTGTGAATAATTTTGGAGAACTTTGAGAGTTGGCTTGTACCATCTGACCTTCTTCCCTTCCTTATTCTGCCTTCCTCCTGTTACAGACATGTGACAGTCATAGCTCATCTTAGATCATGAAGGCCAGGGCTGCACGGTAGAATGGTAGAGCGTAAAGCAGGGAGGGAGCTGGATCCCTATGGAACTTGGAAAACAGAGCATCCACACCAATCCTGTACTGCCAACCTTTGGGCATTTACATTAGAAAGAAAAATAAGCTGCTCTCTGGGGTTTCCTCTTACTTTTTCACCTGACACGAATCCTTACTAACAAAGATCAGAGGGCACTCTCATCCACAGTGTATACTCTTTACCTTGGCTACTCTCAGATGCCCAACAGTTTTTATAAGGAATTGTAAAGATCTAACTCTTGTATTGTATAGCTCAGAAAGCCAAATTTACTGAAGTTAGGCCCATGTCCAGAGATGGATTCAAGAATTCAGTGGTGTATTTTCTCAGCTTTCTTGAGTAAAAATTAACGAAGTAGAGAAGTTTGAAAGCTCTGCTGCTTCTTCCTTCTGCTAGACAAGGTTGTTTGCATTTCTTTTTACTTTGCATAAATATCTCTAATTTTGAGAAAAGTAACCTTAGCAGATAAGGAAAGAAGTTGAAGGGTAGTTTGTTTAATTATCAAGAGCAATGATGTATAAATGGCTTTTGGGAAAAAATGATATCTAACTTTAAGTTAAGAACCTGTGTAGTTATTATGGAATGAAGTGAATTCTGTAAAACCATTGATATAAGGTAAGTGTGCTTTTAGATGCTGCATGTTATTCTATGATTTTTATTTTGAGCAATAACAAAAAGATGTTGAAATTATACCAGTTGACCAGTTGCTGACAGGCAATCCTAAAGTATTGGCTGGAACTGATAAGAGGTTACCAGCATTACATATTCATAGATATTCTCAACTTGAAGTACTTTCTAAAGCAAACAGTTCTGTCATCATCACTATGCATAGAGGTATAACGGTGATGCAGGGTGGTTTTCAGATAGACTAGGTTTTTATTTTGCCTCTATACTGGACAGGTTGAGTGACCACAGAGCTTTATATCTTAGTGACTAGTGGTTAAAGAGATTGCATTTGCATTATCCTAAGTGAATTAGCACAGGAACAGAAAACCTACCACTGTGTGTTTTCACTTATAAGTCGGAGCTAAACATTTGATACACACGAACATAAATATGGCAACAATAGACACTGGGGACTGCTGGAGAGGGGAAGAGGGGAGGAGAGTAAAGATTGAAAATGAACTGTTAGGTACTATGCTTACTACCTAGAGGATGGGATTAATCATACCCCCAATCTCAGCATTGTGCAATATACTCATGTAACAAACCTACACATGTCCCCTCTGAATCTAAAATAAAAGTTGAAATTATAAAAAATAAATAAAAAGACAAAAAAACTATAGTGAGATATCATCTCATCCCAGTTAAAATGGCTTTTATAAAAAAGTCAGGCAATACCCAATGCTAGCAAGGATGTGGAGAAAAGAGAACCCTTGTACACTGTTGGTGTATAAAATTAGTACAACCACCATGGAGAACAGTTTAGAGATTCCTCAAAAAACTAAAAATTTAGTTGCCATATGATGCACCAATTCCACTGCTGGGTATATACCCAAAAGAAAGGAAATGAGTATATGGAAGAGATACCTGCACTTCCATGTTTGTTGCAATACTGTTTACAATAGCTAAGATTTAGAAGCAACCTAAGTGTGCATGAGCAGATGAATGGAGAAAGAAAATGTTGTACATTTCCACAATGGAGTACTAGCCAGACATAAAAAGAAGGAGATCCAGTCATTTGCAACAACATAGATGGAACTGGAGATCATTATGTTAAGTGAAACAAGCCAGACACAGAAAGACAAACATCACAGGTTCTCACTTATTTTTGAGATCTAAAAATCAAAACAATTGAACTCATAGAGAGAGAATAGAAGGATAGTTACCAGAGGCTGGGAAGGGTAGTTTTGGGAGGCAGGGTTGCAGGGGAGGAGGGATGGGCAAAAAAAATAATTAGAAAGAATGAGTAAGACCTAGTATTTGAGAGCACCACAGACACTATAGTCAATAATAATTTAATTGTACACTTTAAAATAACTAAAATAGTATAATTGGATTGTTTGTAACAGAAAGGATAAATGCTTGAGGGGGATGGATACCCAGTTTTCCATGATGTAATTATTACTCATTGCATGCCTGTACCAAAACATCTCAATTACCCCATAAATATATACACCTACTGTGTACCCACGAAATTAAAAATAAAAAAATTTTTAAAATAAATTATATTTCATAATCAGTGGTGTATGCATGCAATATAAATGCTTGTTCCTAGAGGATTTCAAGATCATATGGTCTTTCTAAGTCACATACTATACCAAAGCTCTTCAGACAAGAGCTTCTTATACAGTCTGAATTTGTGCAGAATCTCAAAAGGGCAATAAAATTTTGAAATAATGTGATTAACTCCAAATTCATTACGAATTATGTAGTTTCCGTGCTGGGAACCAAATGAATTATAAAGTATGTTTACACTGCTTCAACACGGTGGCTCCATTTTAGCTGCAAACAGAAATTCTTATCATTTTTTTCAGGATTAGTCCCAAATACTCAAGTTTAAGTTATCCTAAATCTTTCTTTAGGAACGCCTCACAAATAAAATATAAGAAATTTTGATATTGTACTCTTGGCAAAGTTTTGCTCTGCTTCCCTAATCTAATGGGACAGTGACAGCTTACAATGAAACATTTTCAAAAACATTCCCTGCTAAATCAAACTGAAATGCAGGGGATTTACATGGACATTTGAGATCGTTTGGTGTAATAGAGCATGGACTGTCAAGTAAGAAGTTTCACATGGACTACGGAGTAAGACCAGTCCTTCTACCATCTTGGAACTTGACCTTTTTTTGTAAAATTGGAAACATAACAGCTCACCATCTTGTTGAGAAGACTAAATGAAGTAATGTGAAAGTTCCTTAAGGAAGAAATGTTAAATGTTATTACGCTTGACCTGTTTTCTTGTTAACATCTTATATCTTGAAATTTTCTTTAAAGCCTCTAAATGTTGTTTTTGTTTGTTTGTTTGTTTTGACGGAGTCTTGCTCAGTCACCCCAGGCTGGAGTGCAGTGGTACAATCTTGGCTCACTGCAACCTCTGCCTTTAGGGTTCAAGCAATTCTATCTCAGCCTCCTGAGTAGCTAGGACTACAGGCATGCACCACCACGCCCAGCTAATTTTTGTATTTTTAGTAGAGACGGGGTTTCACTGTATTGGCCAGGCTGGTCTCGAACTCCTGACCTCGTGATCTGCCCTCCTCTGCCTCCCAAAGTGCTGAGACTGCAGGCGTGAGCCACCCTGCCCAGCCAACGTTGTGTTTTTAAATACGTTAAAGTTACAGCATATGGTTTTAAAAGCCTTTATTTCTCCAGTCAAATATTAGAAACTCAAGAAAAAGGATGCACTAAGTTGAAACTTGCTCTACTACTTTGGCAGCCACACTTAAGGCAGAAAAGTAAGTTAAAGATCTTATACCTTTGAGTTTAAAAACAAACAGTGATTTTTCTCATTTAGCAGCCCTGTGCAGAATCATAGCAGAATCATCTCATCTCTCTTGGGAGAAATGTTGGCAGTTAATTAAGCCAATTCCTTCATTTTGTGGTTAAGTGCACTCAGATCCAGGGATTAATCGACTTTGCCAAAGTCATTTATCTAGTTAACTGTAGAAAAGGCAGAACCTCTTGAATTCCAAGCTAGTGGCTATTTCACTTAGCTAGTATTTTTAAAATCATTGACTTTAGTGTGTATATATATGTATACACTATTTATGTGTGTATATTTTTAAAATCATTGGCTTTAGTGTGTATATACACTATATGTGTGTGTATATATGTGTGACATATATACACACTATATATGTTTATATGTATGTGTGTATATATGTGTGACATATATACACACTATATATGTTTATATGTATGTGTGTATATATATATATAATTTGTGTGTGTGTGTATATATATAACTTTTAATGTTATTTTCCAGTGTCAAGAGACCATTTGAAATTAAATCTGGCTTCAAAAAATGTTACCATCAAAAGTCATTAAGTGTTTTCTGGTTTTGATATTTGTATTGCGATTATATAAGAGAAGGTCCTTGCTCTTGGTTTACACAGAAATATTTTGTGATTTAAAAATATTAATGATTACTGCCCACCAATTTTTATGTTAGGTATTTTTCAAGGCACTGGGATTTTTCTTTTGAAAATCTTATCCTTGAGAGATTTGATCTATTACTATGTTATGGTATATTTTTGCCTTATAGTGATTATGATTTTTTTCTTTCTGCTTCTGAAATGTGGTAGATATGTGTAGAAATCATAAGAAATGGCCATTCTTGGTGTCAAACTTGTTTTATCTTCAATTATCATAATAAACTATTGAATGCAAAAAAAAAAATAAAGTTGCTGAGAGTAGTAAGTGCTTAACAGAAATATTTAGAAAAAAGTAAAACCAAACCCAGTAAAGACCTCATTAATTTAAACTCTATTAAAGAAGGATTGTGAACAGTACTTGAACTGAAATTTAGTTTTGGATCCAGAATTCTATTTAATTGCCTATGCAAAATAATAATGTGAACAAGATTAGAAAGGGAATGTTTTCAATAGTTAAAAGAACAAAATGTCTCTGAGCAGCCAGCCTTCAGTAGTTGAGAATGCTGATTAACATACACATAAGAGGCATGCTAATTACGGGCAGCCTTATCGGGTCATTACAGCAGGTCCCCCAGGACCTTTCTGTTACTGGGTAGAACTTGAAAGTAATAAATTTGCTTTTCTTTACAATTATTCTATAATTAGAAATTCCACAGATTTAAGCCATTTTCTCATGGAACTGCCCTTATTAAACAATTGATTTTTAGCAAATATCCACACATTTCCTGATATATAATACAAAATAGATACTGATATGTGTAAAAGAAAGATGGTGACCCTATTAGAAAGCATCATCCTTTTTAGTTTTTCCACACTCATTTTGATGAGAAACTTTAAAATCCCTTTTAGTTTTTTTTAATCGATTTACGTCTGAAGGCTCATATCGATCTTGTTCTCAATGAAAGTCAACATAGTATTCTTAGGTCTTAGGTCTAGTCTTTTTATTCTTCGATGAAACAGATAGAAATTTGTCTCTCCTATTGATGAAAAGATTGAAGCTTTAAACAGAAGGGAGATACCAGTACCATTTTTTCAAAGAATATGCCCATATTTAAATTGTACAAGTTTTGTTTTTCTGTGAGTACAACAATCAGATATTAAAATGGCATGTTTTTTTAACTTAAAAAGAGTATTATGTAGTTATTATTATGCACGTTGATGTGGCACTTTTTCTCAACTGTTAGAGTATTCTTCTTAGATATCATTACCAAACAACTGATTGGCCATTTAATTTTGGTCATATTTCACTTTTCCTAATACCTAAATGGCACAAACAGACATGAAAATAGTGTAAGGCTCAGACTTCATTGTACCTAAGAAATCAGTGAAGCTTTTCATCAGGTGGAAGGAAGAGTAGACTGGATTTTCTCTTAGATCTGTCTGCCTTTTTCTTTGAAAAGTTTGTTTGTTTGTTTGTTTTTGAGACAGAGTCTCACTCTTGTTGCCCAGACTGGAGTGCAATGGCACAATCTCGGCTCACTGCAACCTCCGCCTCCCAGGTTCAAGCGATTCTCCTGCCTCAGCCTTCCGAGTAGCTGGGATTACAGGCATGCGCCACCACACCTGGCTAATTTTGTATTTTTAGTAGACACGGGGTTTCTCCATGTTAGTCAGGCTGGTCGCGAACTCCCGACCTCAGGTGATCCACCCACCTCGGCCTCCCAAAGTGCTGGGATTACAGGCATGAGCCATCATGCCTGGCCTCTTTTAAAAGTTTTTGTAGTTTTTTCCAGATGGGATAACTTTTTACCTGGATAATATATTTGGTAAAAAACATACCATTTTCCAAAGTGTTTATATCATTTCGGTTGTTGTTTTGACCCTTCTAATTATTTAGCAGCTCTATCCATGGAGACTACTGGGGGAAGTCTTGAGTTTTGCCTATTCATGGAAGGCAGGAAGTAAGCCAGAAGGAACCTCATTCCATCCCCAGATTTGTTTATCTGAAAGACCCATCATCAGTTGTGAAATGTGGAAATTTTAAGCAAGGTCTTGTATATAAATTTTATAGATGGGAAAACTGTTGAAAAAAGAAAATGCAACTGAGAGATATTACTGGTATTTTTGTCATTGACAACCAAGGATAACAATTGCATTGCTCCCTTGTTTGTGATGTATAGAGACATCTATACTTAAAAGACATTTTATTTGAGCACCAAAGTAATTATAAATGGTTTATTGTATTTATTGTGGGATCTGGCCAGCAGCCCGCAATGCAGCGGGGCTCTCTTTCTTTTCCCAGGCAGATCGGCAGGTCGATAAATAATAGACACACACAAGATAGTGAAAGCTGGGTCCAGGAGGGTCACCGCCTTCTGGTCCTGCAATGCTGCCAATGCACTGGATATACCAGCATTTATTATTAAGTTTAGTGAGGGCAGGGGTAGGTTAGTGAGGGATTTAGGGTTGTTTGATTATAAGGTGAGATGGTCACGTGGGGATGAAGTAATTCTTTAACATAACATCTGTATGCAGAAGTACAGTATACAGAGAAAAGAATTTACAGTATAGTGTGTGCATCAGTAATTTCTAACAGAGCCTTAAAACAGAAACACAGTCTTTCCGTAACCTATGATCAGCAAGATATTAATCAGCAGTAACAGTTGCAGCAAAAGCTGGTTACAAACAATCCATAGAAACAGGATGTGAGGCTAGACAACTGGTTAGACCAGAAATACTCAGAAGGGAGTATGCCTTAACCCTAAAGAGGCCTAGAAGAGCCATGGCAAGATGAGGGCATTTATAGCCCTATCTTATCCACATGAACAGGCGCCCCTCATGCGTCCGTTTATAGGCTCTCCACAAGGGTCACATTCCCTCATGCGTCCGTTTATAGGCTCTCCACAAGGGTCACATTCCATTCCCAGAGCTATGAACATCTGCTTTTCTGGGATAGGAATCTTGGTGATGTGAAACCTCCCTGACTGCACATCCATTCATAGGCTCTCTGCAGGGGGAAGCAAATCACACGCTGTTGGCTCATTCTGGCAGTCCAACCTGGCATTGTCTTTACACAATCCTGCATGCAATTTTATATTTACAATAATCAGAAGCATTTCATCTTTTATTCCATAGCAGTAGTTTCAGGGGGTCTCCCTACATATATTTATAACTTTTTCCCTATTTATTTATGCTGTTTATGTTTAAGTATGGTTCCCTGAGAGCTCACCTGATATATCACACTGCTGAAACTGAGCTAGATCTCTAAAGCTTTCTCCAGATTTAACATCCTATGATTCACTGACTGTGTAAATTAATTCTAACCACTGATGTTGAAAATGTCTTCTCATGGATCTGTAAAGGTTATGCAGAAAAATCTAGTTGCTAAATAACGGAGCTATCTTCAGGAATGAAAACTGGTAAAGAATATTATTGGCTGGGTGCAGTGGCTCATGCCTGTAATCCCAGTGTTTTAGGAGGCTGAGGTGGGAGGATTGCCTGATGCCTGGAGTTCCAGACTAGCTTGGGCAACATAACCACATCTTACATAAAACAAAAAACAAAAAACTAGCTGGGCATTGTGGCATGCACCTATAGTCCTAGCTACTTTAGAAGTCTGAGGTAAGGAGGACCCCTTAAGCCCAGGAGTTAGAGGTTACAATGAGCTATGATAGCTCCATGATAGCACCATTACATTCCAGCCTGGGTGACAGAGTGAGACCCTGTCTGTTAGGGGGAAAAAATACACACACACACACACACACACACACACACACACACACACACACACACACACACATTGAGAGTCAGTGATATGTATAGTCAATGGAAGAATTTAGTCAATATAAATATATTTATATATATATATAGTCAATATAAATATGTACATATAGTCAATGGAAGAATTTCCATACATTTTTGGTCCCTAAGTGTACAACTTCACTGGGTTATTAAAAATATTAAAAAACACCTATAAAGTGCTTAGAACAGTACCTGGCAACCTTGTAAGTGCTATGTTAAGTGTTTACTGTTACTGCCACCAACACCACTGAGGATCCAGCAGAGGATTCTATGATAAGTTGTCTTTGTCCTAAAAATAGTATATCCTCTTGCAGTCATTGGAAATAATATGGCCAGTAATCTAAAATATATAGTTTCCTAGTAGCTATAGGCTATTTTGAAGTCATTCTAAAACCAACCATTAAACCTGAGCGTAATCTGTTTAACACATGAAGAAAGCTGTTTCATAAGACTCTGAAAGAGATTTATAAAATGAAAATGCTGTGGCATCAAATATTAATATTTTGCTAGCAGCAGGTAGCCCAAATGTTGATGGCTGGTATGCATTTGAAGGCCTACTTAACTGTGAATTTTATTAGGACCATTCCTCAGAGCTGGAGTTACAAATGGGCTTATAAATGAGAAATTAACCACCCCTCTAGGGAACAGCAGTTTCTTTGAAATCTTAATTAACCAATCACACTGATCTTCTCTTTTTTCAATTGCCAACACTTGGATAAATGTTGAATAAAACATTGTCTAATTGGAAATAGCTTAAGTACTGGGAACACCATTCTTTTATATGTTGAAATAAGTATAGTGGTAAAATGAAATAAATTTTAAAAAGTAGTGCATATGTGCCTGTTTGAATATTTTCATTTGTCCACTATACTTTTAAAAAAATTAAACTGTAAAAAAATTACATTGTGAAACTAGGTTTTTTTCTTTTTTCTTTATTGAGACAGTCTCACTCTGACACCCAGGGAGGAGTGCAGTGGTGTGATCAGGACTCATTGCAGCCTTGACCTCCCAGGCTCAAGCAGTCCTCCTGCCTCAGCTTCCTGAGTAGCTGGGACAACAGGTGCACAGTACTATGCCCTGCTAATTTTTTGATTTTTTTATAGAGAGGAGATCTCACTATTTTGCCCTGGCTGGTTTCAAAAGCAATTTTCCCACCTTGGCCTCTCAAAGTGCTGGGATTACAGGTGTGAGTTACCAAGCCTAGGCAGAAGTTGTTTTTTTTTTAATTGGAAAATAAGCATAAGAAACATAGGATGTTTCATGTTCAGAAAGACCATTACTTACAATATGACTTTGTAGTATCACTTTATTTTCTTCCACACAGAACATTACAAGTAGAGGCAACACATTTGTGAAGAGGTTAATTTTAACAAAATATAAATAAACTGATCCACTGTAAAGTGTTACCTAGAAAAGATAGTTTATGTAGTGGAATGGAAATACATATATAGGTGAAAATTTAATGACCTTTCTAATTGAATTTTTTGAAGAAATAAACATTGTATTTTCTAAGATAAATTCTTCTATGTTATATTATTACTTTATTAAAATGGATACTGCAGTCAATATGATTTTCTTAAATTTATAAGAACATAGAGAAGATAGTTTTGTGAACAGTTAGGTCTCCCTTAGGCTTATTATTTCTTTGAAATTGTTTTATTTGTGCTGTATAGTTTTCATACATATGAGACTTTCCAATAATAGCTATTGAATGGAAAAAATACATATAGAACACAGTCATTTAAGTCGCTCAAATTTCTAGAAATAAAATATGGAGACCTGCTTTCCCAAATATATTTGCTATGTCCTTTTTCAGATTTAGCAAACATTATGCCTTCTATATGCCATACACATTTGCATAGTTATATTTAATGTTGAGTACAATGTTGTAAACTGGAGATATGTGTTTCAAGCAGAAGGAATAACATGTAGGTACAAAGGGATTTGATTATAATGAGCATGGCACGTTGGATAGGGTCAGAGAGTTTTTAATGCTAATCAGTGGGAAGGGAGTTGGAGACCAGATGACTAGTAGGCTAAAATGATGGGTTAGGGCAGTTCCTGTTGGACATTGAATGGCAAAGGGGAGTCCACAAGAGTTTATATTTTATTCTTTTGTCTGAGGGTCCTTGAATGGGCTTTAGTCCATTGTGAATCTCTTTAAATTACGTATGTGTATGTGTGTTAGTATGCATATGCACTTGTACGTCCGCATCCACTGAACACACGTGCTGTGGAAAGGGTTTGTAGTTTTCATTAGATTCTGTAATTCCACAAAGTTAAGAATCACTGCAGTAGATATGACACATCCTATTAGAGATTCTAATTATGTGATGATGGAGTAAGAATTGTTGGTTGTTTGCTTTTTAAGAAAGATCATTTTGGCAGCAAGACCACAGGTCACTATCTCACATCATATACAAAAATGAACTTTAAGAGCTAAGACTGTGATGCTCTTCGAAGAACACAAAGGGGTAAATCTTCATGACTTTGGATTTGTTTTGTTTTGTTTTGAGATGGAATCTCACTCTGTTGCCCAAGCTGGAGTGCAAGGCACTATCTCAGCTCACTGCAATCTCTGCCTCCCAGGTTCAAGCAATTCTCCTGCCTCAGTCTCCTGAGTAGCTGGGATTACAGTGTGTGCCACCACGCCCAACTAATTTTTCTATTTTTGGTAGAGACAGGGTTTCACCATGTTGGCCAGGCTGGTCTTGAACTCCTGACCTCAGGTGATCTGCCTTGCCTCGGCCTCCCAAAGTGCTGGGATTACAGGCATGAGACACCGTGGCCAGCCATGACTTTGTATTTAATAGTGGTTTATTATATATGAAACCAAAAGTACAAGCAGCAAAATATAAAACATAAACTGGACTTCCTTAAAACTTAAGACTTGTTGTATTAAACGACATCATCAGGAAAATGAAAAGGCAATCTAGAGAAGAGGAAATTTGCAAATCATATCTCTGATAAAGATTGAGTATTCAGCCATTTGACCCAGCAATCCCATTACTGGGTATATGCCCAAAGGATTATAAATCGTGCTGTTATAAAGACACATGCACACATATGTTTATTGCGGCACTATTCACAATAGCAAAGACTTGGAAGCAACCCAGATGTCCAACAATGATAGACTGGATTAAGAAAATGTGGCACATATACACCATGGAATACTATGCAGCCATAAAAAATGATAAGTTCATGTCCTTCTTAGGGACATGGATTAAGCTGGAAACCATCATTCTCAGCAAACTATCACAAGGACAAAATCTAAACACTGCATGTTCTCACTCATAGGTGGGAATCGAACAATGAGAACACATGGACACAGGAAGGGGAACATCACACACCGGGGCCTGCTGTGGGGTGGGAGGAGGGGGGAGGGATAGCATTAGGAGATATACCTGATGTTAAGTGACGAGTTAATGGGTGCAGCGCACCAACATGGCACATGTATACATATGTAACTAACCTGCATGTTGTGCACATATACCCTAAAACTTAAAGTATAGTAAAAAAAAAGATTGAGTATTCGGAATATATCAATAATTTTTATAACTCAATAAAAATGTAACCCAACTGAAAAATTAGAATCAATATTTCTCCAAAGAGAATATTTCTCCAAAGAAGACATACAAATGGCCAGCTAGCACATGAAAAGATGCTTAACACCATTAGTCATCAGGGAAATTCAAATGAAAACCACGATGAGATACCACTTCACACCCACTAATATGGCTGTAATCAAAAAGTCGAGTGTTGGCAAGGATGTAGAGAAATTGGGACCCTTATACACTGCTGGTTGGAATGTCAAAATGCTGTAGCTGCCTTGGAAAACAGCTGACACTTCCTCAAAAGATTAGATATATAGTTACCATATGACCCAGCAATTCTATTTATAGGTAAATAGCCAAGAGAATTGAAAGCAAAGCAACACAAAAACTTCTACACAAATCTATTTAGCAACATTGTTCATAATAGCCAAAAAAGTGGAAACAACCAAAATGTTCATAAAGTGCTGAAGAAATAACTCATCCATTCATAGCACATCCAAAACGTTATAGTCATATGAGGAATATTACTGAGCAGTAAAAAGGAATGAAGCATTGATGTATGCTACAACGTGGATGTACCTTGGAAAGATGCTAAGCGAATGAAATGAGTCACAAACACTACATTTTATATGATTCTGCATATATGAGATGTTGAGAATAGGCAAATTTATTTGAGATACTGAAAGTAGAGGCTACCAATGGCCTCTGCTTTCAGTAGGAGAATCAGAATTATTGGAGGGTGATGACAAAAAGATACGATGTTTATTTTGGAGGTATGAAAATGTTTTAAACCTCGACTTGTGACAAATATACAACTCTGAATATGCCAAAAGTCATGGAATTGTACGCTTTAAACGGGTAAATTTTTTCGTATGTGAATTTTATCTTAATAAATTTATTTTTTAAACAAAAAGATTATTTATAATATTTCTGGGAGACAAAGCTCAGGTCCTGAAATAAGGTAGGAGCAATAGAAGTGGAGCAATGATGATGGATTTGAGGGTCAATAATAAGAAACAACAGGTAAAATGTTTTAAATTGCTTTGACACTAAAAGGAAGGAGAATGCATATATGGTAATTCCTAGATTTCTGGCTAGCAGGGCTAGATAGAGAATGGTGCCATTACCACAGTGGGGTAGGAATATGGAAAGGAAAGAATGGTTTGGGGAAAAGATGATGAGTTATTGTTTTAAGTAGGCTGACTTTGACTTAGCTGTCGGACAACCAGGTGGAGGTGCTCAGTAGGCAATTTAACATGTAGGTCCCAGACTAGGTGAGGTAGCTCACACCTGTATTCCTAGCCCTTTGGGAGGCCAAGGCAGGTGGATTGTTTGAGCCCAGGAGTTTGATACCAGTCTGGGCAACATGGCAAAAAACCCATCTGTACAAAAAAATACAAAATATTAGCTGAGTGTGGTGGCACGCTGCACTCCAGCCTGGGCAACAGAGTAAGACTTAGAAAAATAAAAATAAAAAATGTAGATCTGAAGCCTAGAGACATGCTTTGAAAAAAAATCATTAGTGAACATCTTGAAGTTGAGGCTTTGTGTATGAAAAGCTGCAAAGAGATGAGATGAAAATCAGGCAAGAGGTATTCTGGAGCCCATGAAGGAAGAGGTTCAAGAAGAATGGAGTGGAACCTGGCAGTGGTGCGTGCCTGTAGTCCCAGCTACTGAGGAGGCTGAGGCGAGAGAAATTACTTGAGCCCTGGAGTTTGAGGCTAGTCTGGGCAACACAGCAAGACCCCATCTCTTTAAAAAGAGAGAGAGATGGAGGGAATGTTTAGCTTTGTCAGTCGCTGTCCACTTCATACAATATGAGTACTGAAAAATATCCTTTGTGCGTGGCAATTCAGAGGTAACCTTAATGAGCAGTTTCAGTGGAGTGTTGAGGGTATAATCTAGAAGGGTTCAAAGGAGGATTTCTTTAAAGATAGGATATTGTTAGGTTTATAAAAGACAAACTTGTTTTCCCTAATCCTTTTATGCCTTACTACTAGGACTTTTTCCTTTAATCCAAGCATTTCCAAACCATGGTGCTTCATTGTTTAGAAATCACATGTGCTTTAATAATTCAGGTTGGTTTTTCTTTTCTTAACCAAAAATAGCAATGCAAACTATGGCGTATGTATTATACACTTTATTAGGGATTTCAAATTATGTAAATCTCTAAATTAACACACAAAAAGGATTTATATCAGATTCTATTTATGAAGTCAGAAAAATTCCTTTTTCCAGAGCCTTAACTCTTATATTTCCCAAGTGCTTTTATGAAGAAACAGTCATTAAGGAAAAAATGACTGTTTTATTCAGTGAAGATTTCATGTCATCTAGTTAGCAAACTATACTTTGTCTTAGAGTCATTTGAAGGTAGTTGGACTTAACACAGACATATTGACCAAAATTACGATCATTATATCCTTATTCTATGTCCATATGTCAGAGCCCATCTTTTACAGATCTCTCATGATTGCCCTAAAAATTCCATTTCAAGGGAGTCAAAGGCTCTCTTCTTTCCTGCCCATCTGCATCTCCTAGGAAGTGAGTTTTGGGGCTCCTTGAAATTCTAGTGTGTTCTAAGATAGTGGTGATCAAACTTTTTTTACCCTCCCCATACATATATGTATGTTTGCCTGTGAGTCAGATGCAAAAGTTTTCAGTAATTATTCTATGAGATGCTATGGTATTCACTATCTCTTTTTTCCTTTTCATTCTGTTATGAGCTAACATGCTGAGTAGTAGGTCATAATCATGATTCACCAATGGAGACTAAAAGTTCCCATAGCTCATAGAGGAGTCCCAGGAATGGCCATGTATTTGCTAAACCCTAATTTGTTCACCGTGAATTCATCTTAGAAGTTTTAGGTGTGATCTGGCTTCCTGGTAACATCAGAATGCTCTAGGAGTTGCCCAGTTTCCAGATACTAGACTTATTGCCCTTGTGCTGTAGAGAAAGAGCAAAAGAATTTTAGGCTTAATAATACCTTACTATGTTTACTATGTGTCAGGTGCTATGATTGGTATAGATAATATCTAATCTTAAAACAATTTTGAAAATTAGAATTAGCATCACAATTGTGGTGGGTTAGTAGGGGAAATGAAGAAAACAAAGCTTGGCGACATTGAGTAACTTGTCTAAGAGTATACAGTGTGTAGGTGGCTTTAAAACCCGAGTTTTTTTCACTTCCATAAGCTTTCTGAAACAGGCATTCCATTATGAAGGGTCAGCCTCAGTGCTTGTCCCTATTGTGCCTAAAGAAGATTGAGAAACATGGGGTGGGGCGGGGAAGTCCCAAAATCATCTTGGATAGCCTAAGCCTTTATGCATTCTCACTGCTTAAATGGAGAACTCTGGCAATGTCAACATAATCAGATCACTGCCATCTCAATACAGGATTAAATAAAATTGCTCTCATATTTTTTGGCAGTCTGTGGGTAAAAATTATCTCTGAGATCTGTACAATCATATGTGGAGTTCATTTAAGCCAAAGTCTATAAAGAATGTTTAAGACCATGCCCCTGTTTGTGCTTTTTACTGGTGTTTCTCTATTAGCCTGGAGTGATAGGATCAGTCCTTGTTAATTATAACTGATAGGGAAACATGGCTAAGAAATATCATTCTTGGGTCAGGCACAGTGTCTCATGCCTGCAATCCTGGTGCTTTGGGAGGCCAAGGCAGGAGGATTGCTTGACTTCAGGAGTTTAAGACTAGCCTGGGCAACATAGCAAGACTCCATCTCAACAGTGACATTTAAAAATTAGCTAGGTGACAGAGTGAGCTTCTGTGTCAAAAAATATATATATCATTCTTGGTGATGGGCTTGGCCACTTTGTAAGAAACCTTGGTATCTCAGATGATAGATAGAAGAAGCAAAACCGTGAGCATTTTTCTCTGTAATGTTTAGTTGTGAGGCCAATAAACTTAACACTCTTGGAGGCAGGTTTTAAGAACTTCTTTTCTATCATTTTCTTCTTCCCTGTTTTTACTCCCCTACTCAAAAGATGTATGTGTATGTGTTTTTTTTTTTAATCCCTCCTACAGAGAGAAAAGCTTGTGGCAAAGGGAGCTAAGGTATAGGATGTAGCTTCTCCGTTAAAATCTAGTCCTGCCCTGTCCAATGTAATAACCACTAGCCACATGTATTATCAAGCACTTAAAATGTGAAAAGTCAGAATTGACAAGTGTTGTAAGTATAAAATATTTCATACTATATTTGAAAGACTTAGTATTAAAAAGAGAATGTAAAATATTAATAGTTTTTAATATAGATTACATGTTAAGATAATATTTCACATTCATTGAATTAAATGTCATTAAAATTTCTCCTGTTGCTTTTTACTTTTTAAAATGTGGCTACAGTAAAATTTTAAATTATATATTTGTCTTGCATTTGTGGTTGTATTGTATTTCTTTTTGACAGTATTGATTCTAGGGCAATACTGCAGCTACTCTACCCAGCCATGCTTTGGAATACAGCTCATTATCTAATTTTAGGACCCCCCACCCAAAGAGGGCTAAATTTTGCCCAGCCTTTTCTTCCTGTCCACCTGCTACCTCAGCTTGAAAGAGTATATAGTGCTTTACTGGACAGGTAAGGCACATAAAAATAAATCAAGTTTTCCCCAATTGGAAGTGAGAACAGATGGTCTTGGATGGGGTGGGACACCAGACTGGTAGGGCCCAGATCCAGTAGATTTGCTGAGGATATTCTGTAAAGCAACTTGAAGAAAGTATAGGAAAGTTCACATTTTTCCCATTATGAGTACTTCAGTGGTTTTGTTTTTGTTTGAAATATCAAATTCTTCCAAGACAGTTTTGCTCCTTTTCAGGGCACTGTTTCCCTGATGCGCTAAGCATGTGCTTAGTCTGTGTGATATACTTCCAAAGACCAAGCCCTTGATAAGTCCACCCTGGAGTGGTGGCATGGCAAGTTGTCAATACCTGAGCCTTGGGAGCTATACTCCTTCAGTGGTTGGTTGACTGATTGCAGGCAAAAAGATAGAAGTTGCCAATGAAAATTGTTTCAAAGGAAGTAGTGTATCATGTGTGCATGTCTATGTGTGTGTATTTATTAAAGAAGATTCTGCTTAAATTATTTCTACTTTAAAATTCTCTATTTTAACCATTGTGGAAGACAGTGTGGTGATTCCTTGAAGATTTAGAAATGGAAATTCCATTTAACCCAGCAATCCCATTACTGGATGTATACCCAAAGGAATATAAATCATTCTATTAAAAAGATACATGCATGCGTATGTTCATTGCAGCACTATTCACAATAACAAAGACATGGAATCAATCCAAATGCCCATCAATGATAGACTGGGTAAAGAAAATGTGATACATATACACCATTGAATACTATGCAGCCATAAAAAGGAATGAGATCATGTCCTTTGCAGGGACATGGATGAAGCTGGAAGCCATTATCCTCAGCAAACTAACGCAGGAACAGAAAACCAAACACCTCGTGAACAGAAAACCAAACACCTCGTGTTGTAAGTAGGAGCTGAACAATGAGAACACATGGACACAGGGAGGGCAACAATACACACTGGGACCTGTCAGGGGAGGGTGGGTAGGGGAGAGCATTAGGGAAAAGAGCTAACACATGCTGAGCTTAATACCTAGGTGATGGGTTGTTAAGTGCAGCAAACCACCATGACACACGTTTACCTATGTAACAAACCTGCACATCCTGCACATGTACCCCAGAACTTAAGAAAAAAAAATGAAATTATTTTTAAAAATTCTCCGTATGTATATATGTATGTATGTATGTATTATTTATTGAGATAGAGTTTTACTCTCATTGCCCAGGCTGGAGTGCAATGGCACGATCTTGGCTCACTGCAACCTCCACCTCCCGAGTTCAAGCAATTCTCCTGCCTCAGCCTCCCAAGTAGCTGGTATTATAGGCATGCACACCACACCCAGCTAATTTTGTATTTTTAGTACAGACAGGGTTTCACCGTGTTGGTCAGTCTGATCTCGAACTCTTGGCCTCAGGTGATCCATCTGCTTTGGCCCCCCAAAGTGCTGGGATTACAGGTGTGAGCCACTGTGCCTGGCCAAATGATCTGTTTTAAAAAGTACAATATGAGTGTGATGTTCCCCTTCCTGTGTCCATGTGTTCTCATTGTTCAATTCCCACCTATGAGTGAGAATATGCGGTGTTTGGTTTTTTGTTCTTGCGATAGTTTACTGAGAATGATGGTTTCCAATTTCATCCATGTCCCTACAAAGGACATGAACTCATCATTTTTTATGGCTGCATAGTATTCCATGGTGTATATGTGCCACATTTTCTTAATCCAGTCTATCATTGTTGGACATTTGGGTTGGTTCCAAGTCTTTGCTATTGTGAATAATGCCGCAATAAACATATGTGTGCATGTGTCTTTATAGCAGCATGATTTATGGTCCTTTGGGTATATACCCAGTAATGGGATGGCTGGGTCAAACTGTTGTGGGGTGGGGGGAGGGGGGAGGGATAGCATTGGGAGATATACTTAATGTTAGATGACGAGTTAGTGGGTGCAGTGCACCAGCATGGCACATGTATACATATGTAACTAACCTGCACATTGTGCACATGTACCCTAAAACTTAAAGTATAATAATAATAAATAAAATAAAATAAAATAAAATAAAATATAAAAGTACAATATGAGAAGAAAAATCACGTCTTCCAATTAAATAATATACAGTTAATCAAAGAGAGAGCAAGAATTTGTTCAACTGTGTACCATTATAATCAGACACTATAAAGGGATTCCAAAAGTTTGTGGGAAAATGCAATTAAAAGAATAAAATAATGTGAACTTTTCTTCCCAACATAAGCTCCATCAGGGTCAAGACACTTTCCAAATAAAAAGTAATGAGTACATAGTAGGTATATATATTTATGGGGTACTTGAGATATTTTGATACAGGCATGCAATGCATGACAATAACATCAGGGGAAATGAGGTATTCACCATCTCAAGCATTTATTTCTTTGTGTTATAAACATTCCAATTATACTCTTTAGATTTATTTATTTATTTATTATTTTTTGAAACAGAGTGTCACTTTGTCACCCAGACTGGAGTGCAGTGGCACAATCTCGACTCACTGCAACCTCCGCCTCCTGTGTTCAAGTGATTCTTCTGCCTCAGCCTCCCGAGTAGTTGGGACTACAGGCGTGCACAACCAGGCTTGGCTAAGTTTTTTGTATTTTTAGTAGGGACAGATTTTTGCAATGTTGGCCCGGCTGGTCTCGAACTTCTGACCTCAAGTGATCCACCCGCCTCGGCTTCCAAAAGTGCTGGGATTACAGGCATGAGCCACCATGCCTGGCCTATTTATTTATTTATTTAGAGACAGTCTTGCTCTGTCACCCAGGCTGGAATGTAGTGGCATGATCTTGGCTCACTGCAGCCTCCGCCTCTGGGGTTCAAGTAATTCTCCTGCCTCAGCCTCCTGAGTAGCCAAGATTACAGGCATGCACCACCATGCCTGGCTAAATTTTGTATTTTTAGTAGAGATGGGGGTTTCATCATGTTGGCCAGGCTAGTCTCGAACTCCTGACCTCAGGTGATCCGCTTGGCTCAGCCTCTCAAAATGTTAGGATTATAGGCATGAGCCACCACGCCTGGCCCGGCCTAGTTATTTTTAAATGTACAATAAATTATTGTTGACTGTAGTCACTTTGTTTTCCTGTCAAATAATAGATCTTATTCATTCTATCTAACTATATTTTTGTACCCATTAAACATCTCCACTTTGCCCCCACTACTCCCGCTACCCTTCTCAACCTATGGTAACTATCATTATATTCTCCATCTCCATGAATTAATTGTTTTGTTTTTTTAGCTCCCACAAATGAGTGAGAAGATTGTCTTTTTCTGCCTGTTTTATTTCATTTAACATAATGTCTTTTAGTTCTATCTATGTTGTTGCAAATGACAGAATCTCATTCTTTTTTATGGCTGAATAGTACTCCATTGTGTACATGTACCACATTTTCTTTATCCATTCATCTGTTGATGAACACTTAGGTTGCCTCCAAATCTTGGCTATTGCAAATAGTACCACAGTAAACATAGGAGTGCAGATATCTCTTCAACATAGTGACCTCCATTCTTTTGTGAATATACCTAGCAGTGGGATTGCTGGATCATATGGTGGTTCTGTTTTTAATTTTTTGCAGAACTTCTATACTGTTCTTCATAGTGGTTGCACTAATTTACATTCCCACTAACAGTGTACAAGAGTTCCCTTTTCTCCACATCCTTGTCAGCATTTGTTATTGCCTATTTTTTGGATAAAAGCCATTAAAACTTGGGTGAGATGATATCTCATTGTAGTTTTAATTTCCATTTCTCCAGTGATTGATGATGTTGAGCACTTTTTTATATACCTGTTTGATACTTGTATTTCTTCTTTTGAGAAATGTTTATTCAAATCTTTTGCCCATTTTTAAATTGGATTATTAGATTTTTTTTCTATTGAGTTGTTGGAGCTCCTTATATATTCCGGTTGTTCATCATTTGTCAGATGAAGTTTGCAAATGTTGTCTTCCATTTTGTAGATTATCTCTTCACTTCGTTGATCATTTCCTTTGCTGTGAAGAAGCTTTTTAACTTGTTAACTTGATATGATCTCATTTGTCCATTTTTTCTTTGGTTGCTTGTGCTCGTGGGGTATTACTGAAGAAATTTTTGCCCAGCTTGATGTCTTTGAGAGTTTCCTTAATGTTTTCTTGTGTTAGTTTCATAGTTTGAGGACTTAGATTTAAGCCTTTAGTCCACTTTTACTTGATTTTTATATATGTCGAGAGAAAGGGGTCTAGTTTCATTCTTCTGCATATGGATTATTCAGTCTTCCCAGCACCATTTATTGAAGAGACTCTCCTTTCAACAATGTATGTTCTTGGCATGTTGTCAAAAATGAGTTCAATGTAGATGTATGGATTTACTTCTGGATTCTTTATTCTGTTCCATTGGTCTATGTGTTTCTTTTTATGCCAGTCCCGTGCTGTTTTGGTTGCAGTAGCTCTGTAGTATAATTTGAAGTCAGGTAATGTGAGTTCTCCAGTTTTGTTCTTTTTGTTTAGGATGGCTTAGGCTATTCCAGGTCTTTCATGGGTTCCATCAAAATTTACGATTATTTATTTATATTTCTGTGAAGAATGAGATTGATACTTTGATTCGGATTACACTGAATCTGCACATTGCTTTGGACATTTTAACAATATTGATTCTTCTAATCCATGAACATGGAATATCTTTCCATTTTTTGTGACCTCTTCAGTTTCTTTTTTTTTTTTTTTTTTTTTTTTTTTTGTGAGCCAAATAAACTTCTTTTATTTATAAATTACCATGTCTCAGGTGTTCCTTTACAGCAATTTAAAATGGACTAATACACAAAGTTAATGCTCTAACAACTTTTGGTTAAATAAATGAATATGAGACTGTAAAGTTATTTTTTAATACCTCCTTTGTTTTAGATGCTGTATTGTTTTTTTTTCTTTTTTTTTTTATTTATTTTTTTTTTATTATACTCTAAGTTTTAGGGTACATGTGCACATTGTGCAGGTTAGTTACATATGTATACATGTGCCATGCTGGTGCGCTGCACCCACTAACGTGTCATCTAGCATTAGGTATATCTCCCAATGCTATCCCTCCCCCCTCCCCCGACCCCACCACAGTCCCCAGAGTGTGCTATTCCCCTTCCTGTGTCCAAGTGATCTCATTGTTCAATTCCCACCTATGAGTGAGAATATGCGGTGTTTGGTTTTTTGTTCTTGCGATAGTTTACTGAGAATGATGGTTTCCAATTTCATCCATGTCCCTACAAAGGACATGAACTCATCATTTTTTATGGCTGCATAGTATTCCATGGTGTATATGTGCCACATTTTCTTAATCCAGTCTATCATTGTTGGACATTTGGGTTGGTTCCAAGTCTTTGCTATTGTGAATAGTGCCGCAATAAACATACGTGTGCATGTGTCTTTATAGCAGCATGATTTATAGTCCTTTGGGTATATACCCAGTAATGGGATGGCTGGGTCAAATGGTATTTCTAGTTCTAGATCCCTGAGGAATCGCCACACTGACTTCCACAATGGTTGAACTAGTTTACAGTCCCACCAACAGTGTAAAAGTGTTCCTATTTCTCCACATCCTCTCCAGCACCTGTTGTTTCCTGACTTTTTAATGATCGCCATTCTAACTGGTGTGAGATGATATCTCATAGTGGTTTTGATTTGCATTTCTCTCATGGCCAGTGATGATGAGCATTTCTTCATGTGTTTTTTGGCTGCATAAATGTCTTCTTTTGAGAAGTGTCTGTTCATGTCCTTCGCCCACTTTTTGATGGGGTTGTTTGTTTTTTTCTTGTAAATTTGTTTGAGTTCATTGTAGATTCTGGATATTAGCCCTTTGTCAGATGAGTAGGTTGCGAAAATTTTCTCCCATGTTGTAGGTTGCCTGTTCACTCTGATGGTAGTTTCTTTTGCTGTGCAGAAGCTCTTTAGTTTAATTAGATCCCATTTGTCAATTTTGTCTTTTGTTGCCATTGCTTTTGGTGTTTTGGACATGAAGTCCTTGCCCACGCCTATGTCCTGAATGGTAATGCCTAGGTTTTCTTCTAGGGTTTTTATGGTTTTAGGTCTAACGTTTAAATCTTTAATCCATCTTGAATTGATTTTTGTATAAGGTGTAAGGAAGGGATCCAGTTTCATCTTTCTACATATGGCTAGCCAGTTATCCCAGCACCATTTATTAAATAGGGAATCCTTTCCCCATTGCTTGTTTTTCTCAGGTTTGTCAAAGATCAGATAGTTGTAGATATGTGGCATTATTTCTGAGGGCTCTGTTCTGTTCCATTGATCTATATCTCTCTTTTGGTACCAGTACCATGCTGTTTTGGTTACTGTAGCCTTGTAGTATAGTTTGAAGTCAGGTAGTGTGATGCCTCCAGCTTTGTTCTTTTGGCTTAGGATTGACTTGGCGATGCGGGCTCTTTTTTGGTTCCATATGAACTTTAAAGTAGTTTTTTCCAATTCTGTGAAGAAAGTCATTGGTAGCTTGATGGGGATGGCATTGAATCTGTAAATTACCTTGGGCAGTATGGCCATTTTCACGATATTGATTCTTCCTACCCATGAGCATGGAATGTTCTTCCATTTGTTTGTGTCCTCTTTTATTTCCTTGAGCAGTGGTTTGTAGTTCTCCTTGAAGAGGTCCTTCACATCCCTTGTAAGTTGGATTCCTAGGTATTTTATTCTCTTTGAAGCAATTGTGAATGGGAGTTGACTCATGATTTGGCTCTCTGTTTGTCTGTTGTTGGTGTATAAGAATGCTTGTGATTTTTGTACATTGATTTTGTATCCTGAGACTTTGCTGAAGTTGCTTATCAGCTTAAGGAGATTTTGGGCTGAGATGATGGGGTTTTCTAGATAAACAATCATGTCGTCTGCAAACAGGGACAATTTGACTTCCTCTTTTCCTAATTGAATACCCTTTATTTCCTTCTCCTGCCTGATTGCCCTGGCCAGAACTTCCAACACTATGTTGAATAGGAGCGGTGAGAGAGGGCATCCCTGTCTTGTGCCAGTTTTCAAAGGGAATGCTTCCAGTTTTTGCCCATTCAGTATGATATTGGCTGTGGGTTTGTCATAGATAGCTCTTATTATTTTGAAATACGTCCCATCAATACCTAATTTATTGAGAGTTTTTAGCATGAAGGGTTGTTGAATTTTGTCAAAGGCTTTTTCTGCATCTATTGAGATAATCATGTGGTTTTTGTCTTTGGCTCTGTTTATATGCTGGATTACATTTATTGATTTGCGTATATTGAACCAGCCTTGCATCCCAGGGATGAAGCCCACTTGATCATGGTGGATAAGCTTTTTGATGTGCTGCTGGATTCGGTTTGCCAGTATTTTATTGAGGATTTTTGCATCAATGTTCATCAAGGATATTGGTCTAAAATTCTCTTTTTGGGTTGTGTCTCTGCCCGGCTTTGGTATCAGAATGATGCTGGCCTCATAAAATGAGTTAGGGAGGATTCCCTCTTTTTCTATTGATTGGAATAGTTTCAGAATGAATGGTACCAGTTCCTCCTTGTACCTCTGGTAGAATTCGGCTGTGAATCCATCTGGTCCTGGACTCTTTTTGGTTGGTAAACTATTGATTATTGCCACAATTTCAGAGCCTGTTATTGGTCTATTCAGAGATTCAACTTCTTCCTGGTTTAGTCTTGGGAGAGTGTATGTGTCGAGGAATGTATCCATTTCTTCTAGATTTTCTAGTTTATTTGCGTAGAGGTGTTTGTAGTATTCTCTGATGGTAGTTTGTATTTCTGTGGGATCTGTGGTGATATCCCCTTTATCATTTTTTATTGTGTCTATTTGATTCTTCTCTCTTTTTTTCTTTATTAGTCTTGCTAGCGGTCTATCAATTTTGTTGATCCTTTCAAAAAACCAGCTCCTGGATTCATTGATTTTTTGAAGGGTTTTTTGTGTCTCTATTTCCTTCAGTTCTGCTCTGATTTTAGTTATTTCTTGCCTTCTGCTAGCTTTTGAATGTGTTTGCTCTTGCTTTTCTAGTTCTTTTAATTGTGATGTTAGGGTGTCAATTTTGGATCTTTCCTGCTTTCTCTTGTAGGCATTTAGTGCTATAAATTTCCCTCTACACACTGCTTTGAATGCGTCCCAGAGATTCTGGTATGTGGTGTCTTTGTTCTCGTTGGTTTCAAAGAACATCTTTATTTCTGCCTTCATTTCGTTATGTACCCAGTAGTCATTCAGGAGCAGGTTGTTCAGTTTCCATGTAGTTGAGCGGCTTTGAGTGAGATTCTTAATCCTGAGTTCTAGTTTGATTGCACTGTGGTCTGAGAGATAGTTTGTTATAATTTCTGTTCTTTTACATTTGCTGAGGAGAGCTTTACTTCCAACTATGTGGTCAATTTTGGAATAGGTGTGATGTGGTGCTGAAAAAAATGTATATTCTGTTGATTTGGGGTGGAGAGTTCTGTAGATGTCTATTAGGTCCGCTTGGTGCAGAGCTGAGTTCAATTCCTGGGTATCCTTGTTGACTTTCTGTCTCGTTGATCTGTCTAATGTTGACAGTGGGGTGTTAAAGTCTCCCATTATTAATGTGTGGGAGTCTAAGTCTCTTTGTAGGTCACTCAGGACTTGCTTTATGAATCTGGGTGCTCCTGTATTGGGTGCATAAATATTTAGGATAGTTAGCTCCTCTTGTTGAATTGATCCCTTTACCATTATGTAATGGCCTTCTTTGTCTCTTTTGATCTTTGTTGGTTTAAAGTCTGTTTTATCAGAGACTAGGATTGCAACCCCTGTCTTTTTTTGTTTTCCATTTGCTTGGTAGATCTTCCTCCATCCTTTTATTTTGAGCCTATGTGTGTCTCTGCACGTGAGATGGGTTTCCTGAATACAGCACACTGATGGGTCTTGACTCTTTATCCAACTTGCCAGTCTGTGTCTTTTAATTGCAGAATTTAGTCCATTTATATTTAAAGTTAATATTGTTATGTGTGAATTTGATCCTGTCATTATGATGTTAGCTGGTGATTTTGCTCATTAGTTGATGCAGTTTCTTCCTAGTCTCGATGGTCTTTACATTTTGGCATGATTTTGCAGCGGCTGGTACCGGTTGTTCCTTTCCATGTTTAGCGCTTCCTTCAGGAGCTCTTTTAGGGCAGGCCTGGTGGTGACAAAATCTCTCAGCATTTGCTTGTCTATAAAGTATTTTATTTCTCCTTCACTTATGAAGCTTAGTTTGGCTGGATATGAAATTCTGGGTTGAAAATTCTTTTCTTTAAGAATGTTGAATATTGGCCCCCACTCTCTTCTGGCTTGTAGGGTTTCTGCCGAGAGATCCGCTGTTAGTCTGATGGGCTTTCCTTTGAGGGTAACCCGACCTTTCTCTCTGGCTGCCCTTAACATTTTTTCCTTCATTTCAACTTTGGTGAATCTGACAATTATGTGTCTTGGAGTTGCTCTTCTCGAGGAGTATCTTTGTGGCGTTCTCTGTATTTCCTGAATCTGAACGTTGGCCTGCCTTGCTAGATTGGGGAAGTTCTCCTGGATAATATCCTGCAGAGTGTTTTCCAACTTGGTTCCATTCTCCACATCACTTTGAGGTACACCAATCAGACGTAGATTTGGTCTTTTCACATAGTCCCATATTTCTTGGAGGCTTTGCTCATTTCTTTTTATTCTTTTTTCTCTAAACTTCCCTTCTCGCTTCATTTCATTCATTTCATCTTCCATTGCTGATACCCTTTCTTCCAGTTGATCGCATCGGCTCCTGAGGCTTCTGCATTCTTCACGTAGTTCTCGAGCCTTGGTTTTCAGCTCCATCAGCTCCTTTAAGCACTTCTCTGTATTGGTTATTCTAGTTATACATTCTTCTAAATTTTTTTCAAAGTTTTCAACTTCTTTGCCTTTGGTTTGAATGTCCTCCCGTAGCTCAGAGTAATTTGATCGTCTGAAGCCTTCTTCTCTCAGCTCGTCAAAATCATTCTCCATCCAGCTTTGTTCTGTTGCTGGTGAGGAACTGCGTTCCTTTGGAGGAGGAGAGGCGCTCTGCGTTTTAGAGTTTCCAGTTTTTCTGTTCTGTTTTTTCCCCATCTTTGTGGTTTTATCTACTTTTGGTCTTTGATGATGGTGATGTACAGATGGGTTTTCGGTGTAGATGTCCTTTCTGGTTGTTAGTTTTCCTTCTAACAGACAGGACCCTCAGCTGCAGGTCTGTTGGAATACCCTGCGATGTGAGGTGTCAGTGTGCCCCTGCTGGGGGCTGCCTCCCAGTTAGGCTGCTCGGGGGTCAGGGGTCAGGGACCCACTTGAGGAGGCAGTCTGCCCGTTCTCAGATCTCCAGCTGCGTGCTGGGAGAACCACTGCTCTCTTCAAAGCTGTCAGACAGGGACACTTAAGTCTGCAGAGGTTACTGCTGTCTTTTTGTTTGTCTGTGCCCTGCCCCCAGAGGTGGAGCCTACAGAGGCAGGCAGGCCTCCTTGAGCTGTGGTGGGCTCCACCCAGTTCGAGCTTCCCTGCTGCTTTGTTTACCTAAGCAAGCCTTGGCAATGGCGGGCGCCCCTCCCCCAGCCTCGTTGCCGCCTTGCAGTTTGATCTCAGACTGCTGTGCTAGCAATCAGCGAGATTCCGTGGGCGTAGGACCCTCTGAGCCAGGTGTGGGATATAGTCTCGTGGTGCGCCGTTTCTTAAGCCGGTCTGAAAAGCGCAATATTCGGGTGGGAGTGACCCGATTTTCCAGGTGCGTCCGTCACCCCTTTCTTTGACTCGGAAAGGGAACTCCCTGACCCCTTGCGCTTCCCAGGTGAGGCAATGCCTCGCCCTGCTTCGGCTCGCGCACGGTGCACACACACTGGCCTGCGCCCACTGTCTGGCACTCCCTAGTGAGATGAACCCGGTACCTCAGATGGAAATGCAGAAATCACCCGTCTTCTGCGTGGCTCACGCTGGGAGCTGTAGACCGGAGCTGTTCCTATTCGGCCATCTTGGTTCCTCCCTCCTCTTCAGTTTCTTTCATCAGTGTTTTGTAGTTCTTATTGTACAGATCTTTCACTTCTTTGGTTAAGTTATTCCTAGATAATTTATTTGTAGCTGTTGCAAATTGGATTCTTAAATTTTAAATTTCTTTTTCAGATTGTTCATTGTTGGCATATTTAAATGCTATTGATTTTCATATATTGATTTTATATCCTGTAATTTTATGTAATTTACTTCTCAGTTCTAATAATTTCTTGATTAAGTCTTTAGGTTTTTCTAAATATAAGATTATATCATCTGCAAAGAAGGATAATTTGACTTCTTCCATTTCAGTTTGGATGACCTTTATTTCTTTATCTTATCTGATTCCTTTAGCTAGGATTTCCAGGACTATGTTGAATAACGGTGGTGAAAGTGGGCATCTTTGTCTTGTTCCAGATCTTGGAGGAAAGATTTTCAGGTTTTACGCATATGTAGATGTGGTTCTTTTCTATATGGCTTTTATTGTGTGTTGAAGTATGTTTCTTCTCTATCCAGTTTTTTTAGGTTTTTTTAAATTTAATCATGAAGAGATGGTGAATTTTATTGAATGGTTTTTTTGTATCAATTGAAATGATCATATGGTCTACGTCCTTCATTCTTTTTATATGATGTTTATATTGATTGATTTGCATATGTTGAACCATCCTTACATCCTGGGGATAAATCTCAGTTGATCATGATGAATGATGTTTTTAATGTGTTGTTGAATTTGGTTTGCTAGTATTTTGTTGAGGATTTTTTGTATCAATGTTCGTCAGAAATGTTGGCCTGGAATTTTCTTTTTTTGATGTGTCTTTGTCTGGTTTTGTTATCAGGGTAATACTGCCCTCATAGAATGAGTTTGGAAGTATTCACTCCTCCATTATTTTTTGGAATAGTTTGAATAGGATTGATATTAGTTCTTCAAATGTTTTGTAAAATTCTGCAGTGAAGCCATCATTTTCTGGGACTTTTCTTGATAGGAGACTTTTTATTACATCTCAGTCTCATTACTTGTTAAGGGTCTATTCGAGTTTTTAATTTTTTCCTGGTTCAATCTTGGTAGGTTATATGTGTCTAGGAATTTGTCCATTTCTTCTAGGTTTTCTGATTTATTGGCATATGGTTGTTGATAGTAGCTTCTAATGATCTTTGAATTTCTGTGGAATCAGTTGTAATTTTTTTTTAATCTCTGATTTTATTTATTTGTCTTCTCTCTTTTTTTCTTAATCTTCCTACAGGTTTGTTGATTTTGTTTTCAAAAAACTTTTCGAACTTTTCGAAAAATTTTTCAAAAAACTAACCTTTTGTTAATCTTGTGTATTGTTCTTTTTCTCTTTCCAATTTCATTTATTTCTGCTTTCATCTTAGTTATTTCTTTGTTCTACATTTTAATGTAGGCACTTACTGGTATAAACTTTGCTCTCAGTATTGCTTTCACTGTATTCCAGAGATATTGGTGTGTTGGGTTTCCATTTTAATTTGTTTTAAGGAATTTTTGAATTTCCTTCTTAATTTCTTCATTGACTCACTGGTCATTCAGCAGCATAGTGTTTAATTTCTATGTGTTTGTATAGTTTCCAACATTCCTCTTGTTGTTGATTTCTAGTTTTATTCCATTGTGGTCTGAGAAGATAATTGATATGATTTCAGGTTTTAAAAACATTTTAGGCCAGGTGTGGTGGCTCACGGCTGTAATCCCAGAACTTTGAGAGGCCGATGGGGGCAGATCACGAGGTCAGGAGATCAAGGCTATCCTGGCCAACATGGGAAAACCCCATCTCTACTAAAATACAAAAATTAGCTGGGCATGTTGGTGCATGCCTGTAGTCCCAGCTACTTGGGAGGCTGAGGCAGGGGAATCCCTTGAACCCGGGAGGCGGAGGTTGCAGTGAGCCGAGATCGCATCACTGCACTCCAGCCTGGCAGCAGAGTGAGACTCTGTCTCAAAAAAAAAAAAAAAAAAAAATGGTCTGTCTTTGAGATCTATGCACTGAGGAGAAGCATATGTATTCTGCAGCTGCTGGATGAAATATCTATTAGGTCCATTTGGTTTATAGTGCTAAGTCCAATTTTTTTGTTGATTTTTCAGTCTGGATGATCTGTCCAGTGCTGAAAGTGGTATGTTGAAGTCTCCAACTATTACTGTATTGGGGTCTATCTCTTTCTTAGCTATAATAATATTTGCTTTATATATCTGGGTGCTTCAGTGTTGATGCATATAAATTTATAACTATTTATCCTTTTGTCGAATTGACCCCTTTATCATTATATAATGACCTTTTGGTCTCTTTTCATAGTTTTTAATATTGAATTCTATTTTATCTGATATAAGTGTAGCTACTCCTTTTTTTGGTTTTCATTTGCATGGAATATCTTTTCCCATTCCTTTATTTTTAGTCTATGTGTGTCTTTATTGATGAAATATTTCTTGTAGCCAAAAGATCATTGGGTCTTTTTTTTATTTTTTTAATCCATTCAGCCACTCCATTTCTTTTGATTGGAGACTTTAGTTCACTTACATTCAATATTGTTATTGATAAACTAAGGACCTACTCCTGCTATTTTGCTGTTTGTTTTCTGGTTGCCTTATGATCTTTCTCCCTCCCTCCCTCCCTTTCTCTCTCCTTCCCTTCCTTCCTTTTCCCGTTCTGTTGTTTTTGTGAAGGTTCTCCTCTCTGATGGTGTTTTAATTTCTTGCCATTTTTGTGTGTTTGTATCTGTTGTAGGTATTTCAGGGTTACCACAAGGCTTGCAAATAACATTTTGTAACCAATCATTTAAAACTAATGACAACTTAACACTGCTTGTAAAACCAAACGAAAAAGCAGAAGGAAAACTAATAAAAATTCACACTTTTATTCATCTCTCCCACTTTTTAACTTCTTGTTGTTTCTATTTAAATCTTATTACACTATCTCTTAAAACACTGTTGTAGTTATTTTTGATAGTTTTATCTTTTGATCTTTATATGGAAGATATAAGTAGTTTACAGACCACTGTTACAGTGTTATCATATTCTGTATTTGTCTATGTACTTCCTATTAGCAGTGAGTTTTGGACCTCCAGATGATTTCTTTTTGCCCATTAACATCATTCCCTTTCTGATTGAAGTACATCATTTAGCTTTTCTTGTAGGATAGGTCAGCAATTAATGAAATCCCTCAGTTTTTGTTTGTCTGGGAAAGTCTTTATTTCTTCTGCATATTTGAAGTATATTTTCACTGGATAAAAGTTTTTTTTTCCTTCAGCACTTAAAATATGTCATGCCACTCTCCTGTTTTGTAGGGTTTCCACTGAGAAGTCTGCAGCCAAACTTAGTGGAGCTCCATTGTATGTTATTTGTTTCTTTTCTTTTGTTGCTTTTAGGATTGTTTCTTTATCTTTGACCTTTGGGAGTTTGATTATTGAATGCCCTGAGGTAGTCTTCTTTGGGTTAAATCTGCTTGGTGTTTTATAACCTTCTTGTACTTGAATATTGATATCTTTCTCTAGGTTTGGAATGTTTTCTGTTATTATCTCTTTGAATAATGCTGTCTACCCTGGTCTACCTCTCACTACCTCCTCTTTAAGGCCCCATGTATTAGTCTGTTTTCATGCTGCTGATAAAGACATACCCAAGACTGGGAAGAAAAAGAGGTTTAATTGGACTTACAGTTCGACATGGCTGAGGAGGCCTCAGAATCATGGTGGGAGACGAAAGGCACTTCTTATATGGCAGCAGCAAGAGAAAATGAGAAAGAAGCAAAAGCAGAAACCCCTGATAAACCCAGCAGATCTTGTGAGACTTATTCACTATACAAGAATAGCACGGGAAAGACCATCCCCCATGATTCAATCACCTCCACCTGGGTCCCTCCCACAATAACGTGGGAATTCTGGGAGATACAATTCAAGTTGAGATTTGAATGGGGAGACAGCCAAACCATATCTTTCTGCCCCTGGCCCTTCCAAATTTCATGTCCTCACATTTCAGTACCAATCATGCCTTCCCAACAGTCCCGCAAAGTCTTAACTTATTTCATCATTAACCCAAAAGTCCACAGTCCAAAGTCTCATCTGAGACAAGGCAAGTGCCTTCCACCTATGAGTCTGTAAAATCAAAAGCAAGCTAGTTACTTCCTAGATACAATGGGGTACAGGTATTAGGTAAATACATCCTTTCCAAATGGGAGAAATTGGCCAAAAAAAAGGAGTTACAGGGCCCATGCAAGTCCAAAATCCAGTGAGGCAGTCAAATTTTAAGGCTCCAAAATGATCTCCTTTGACTCCACGTCTCTTATCCAGGTCACACTGATGCAAGAGGTGGGTTCCCATCATCTTGGGTAGCTCCACCCCTGTGGCTTTGCAGAGTACAGCCTCCCTTCTGGCTGCCTTCACAGGCTGGTGTTTAGTGTCTGCAGCTTTTCCAGGCACATGGTGCAAACTGTCCGTGGATCTACCATTCTGGGGTCTGGAGTATGGTGGCCCTATTCTCACAACTCCACTAGGCAGTCCCCCTGTGGGCACTGCCTGTGTTGGGACTTTGACTCCACATTTCCCTTCCGCACTGCCCTATCAGAGGTTCCCCATGAGGGCCCCACCCTGAAGCAAACTTTTGTCTGGGCATCCAGGCATTTCCATACATCTTCTGAAATCTAGGTGGAGGTTCCCAAACCTCAATTCTTGACTTTGGTGCACCCGCAGGCTCAACACCACATGGAAGCTGCCAAGGTTTGGAGCTTCCACCCTCTGAAGCCACAGCCTGAGCTGTACATTGGCCCCTTTCAGCCAGGGCTGGAGTGGCTGGGACACAGGGAACCAAGTCCCTAGGCCGCACGCAGCACAGGTAACCCTGGGCCCAGCCCACAAAACTACTTTTTCCTCCGGGGCCTCCAGGCCTGTGATGGGAGGGGCTGCTGCGAAGGTCTCTGACATGGCCTGGAGACATTTTCCCCATGGTCTTGGGAATTAACATTAGGCTCCTTGCTACTTATGCAAATTTCTGTAGCCAGCTTGAATTTCTCCCCAGAAAAATGGGTTTTTCCAAACACTGCATGTTCTCACTCATAGGTGGGAATTGAACAATGAAAACACTTGGACATAGGGTGGGGAACATCACACCCCGGGGCCTGTCGTGGGGTTGGGGGCAGGGGGAGGGATAGCATTAGGAGAAATACCTAATGTAAATGACGAGTTAATGGGTGCAGCAAACCAACATGGCATATGTACACCTATGTAACAAACCTGCACATTGTGCGCATGTACCCTAGAACTTAAAGTATAATTTAAAAATAAAATAAATAAATAAGAAAAATGGGTTTTTCTTTTCTACTGCATTAGGCTGCAAATTTTCTGAACTTTTATGCTCTGTTTCCCTTTTAAAACAGAATGCTTTTAAAAGCACCCAAGTCACGTTTTGAATGCTTTGCTGCTTAGAAATTTCTTCTGCTAGATACCCTAAATCATCTATCTCAAGTTCAAAGTTCCACAAATCTCTAGGGCAGGGACGAAATGCCACCAGTTTTTTTGCTGAAACATAATAAGAGTCACCTTTGCCCCATTTCCCAACAAGTTCCTCATCTCTACCTGAGACCACGTAAGCCTGGACCTTATTGTCCATATCACTCTCAGGCTTTTGGTCAAAGCTATTCAACAAGTCTCTGGGAAGTTCCAAACTTTCCCACATTTTCCCATCTTCTTCTGAGCCCACCAAACTGTTCCAACCTCTACCTGTTACCCAGTTCCAAAGTCACTTCCATATTTTCGGGTATCTTTTCGTCAACGCCCCACTCTATGGGTACCAATTTACTCTATTAGTCTGTTTTTATGCTGCTAATAAAGACATACCTGAGACTTGGAAGAAAAAGAGGTTTAATTGGACTTACAGTTCCACATTGCTGAGAAGGCCTCAGAATCGCTGGGAGGCTAAAGGCACCTCTTAAGTGGCAGCAGCAAGAGAAAATGAGAATGAAGCAAAAGCGGAAACCCCTGATAAACCCGTTAGATCTCGTGAGACTTATTCACTACACCAGAATAGCAGGGGAAACTCGTGAGACTTATTCACTCTGCAAGAATAGCAGAGGAAAGACCACACCCCCATGATTCAATTACCTCCACCTGGGTTCCTCCCACAACACGTGGAAATTCTGGGAGATGCAATTCAAGTTGAGATTTGAATGGGGACACAGTCAGACTATATCAGGCCAGTAACTCATAGATTTGCCTTTTTGAGCCTATTATTTAGATCTTGTAGGCATGCTCCATTGTTTTTTATTATTATTTTTTGCCTTTTCTGACTATTTATTTTCAGATACATGTCTTCAAGCTCTCTAATTCTTTCTTCTTCTTGATCAGTTCGACTATTGAGAGACTGATACATTCTTCAGTGTGTCCATTGAATTTTTCAGCTCCAGAATTTCTGCTTGATATTTAAAACTTATTGTAATCTCTTTGTTAAATTTCTCTGATAGGATTCTGAATTCTTTTTCTGTGTTGTCTTGAAGTTTGTTGTGCTTCTTCAAAATAGGTATTTTGAATTCTCTTGTCTGAAAAGCCACTATCTCTGTTTCTCCAGGATTGGTCCTTGGTGCCTTACTTAGTTCATTTTTGAGGTCATGTTTTCCTGGATGGTGTTGATGCTTATAGATGTTTGTTAGAGTCTGGACATTGAAGAGTTAGGTATTTGTTTTATTGTTTGCAGCCTGGGCTTGTTTGTTCCTGTCTTTTTGGAGAAGATTTTCCAAGCATTCTGAAGGAATTGAGTATTGTGGCCTAAGTCTTTGATCACTACAGCTATATCTGCATTAGGGGGCATCTCAAACCAGTAACACTATGACTCTTGCAGACTTGTCAAGATCACCTTGATGTTCTTTGATAAGATCCAAGATAATTTTCTGGAACAAGAGGCAAAGACTCTTGTTCTCTTTCTTTACTTTCTCCAAAGCAGACAGAGTCTCCGTCTCCATCCTGAGCTGCCTGGTATTGGCAAAGGGGTGACACAAGCACCTGGTGGCTACCATCACTTGGACTGTGGTGAGTCAGACCCGAATCCAGCACAGTACTGGGTCTTGTCCAAATCCGGAGGCGACCACTGCCTGGTAATTGCCAATCTTCATTCAAGGCCAGAACTGCCATTCGGGAACCAGGGCCAGGAATCAGGAACCTTAGGATTCTACCTCCTGCTCTATTCTACTCCACCTAAGCTGGCACCCCCACCACAAGACAAAGTCTTTCCCACTCTTTTCTCTTCTTTCCTCAAGTATAAAGAGCCTGTTGTAATGGCCACCACAGCTGGTATTGTGCTGGGTCACATCTGAAGCCAGCACAGCACTAGTTCTCACCCAAAGCCCACAGCAACTACCGCCTGGTTACAACTGATGTTTATTCAAGGCCCATGCAGATGATGAATGCCGCCAGAACTGGGTTCTCCCCTACAAGGCAGCAGGTTCCCTTCTGGCCCAGGATGTGTCTAGAAATGTCATCCCGAGCTAGATCCTGGGATGTGGGCCTCAGGACACTGCTTGGTGCCCTATTCTACTGTGGCTAAGCTGGTGTGCTAATTGCAAGACAAAGTCCTTTTTACTCTCCCCTCTCCTCTCCTCAAGCAGAAGGAAGGAGTTTCTTCTGGAGCTGTGAGCTGTGCTGCCTTGTGTTGGCGAAGAGCTGACACAAGTACTCCTGGGCTGGCCTAGCTGGTGTCTTATAGCTTGTGTGTACCCCATGTCCTCTGGCTCAGGGTCCAGCACAGCACCAAGACTTGACCAGGAATTGCAGTCCTTGTGGCCTAGACTGCCTTTCATGTTTATTTAGGACCCCAAAGCACTTTAGTTCACAGTCGGCCTAGCTGGAACTCAGATACCAACCACTGGGAAGGATGATTCCCCTCTGGCTGTGACTGGTCTAAATGCTCCCTCCATTGGCACTGGCTGAATTCTGCCATGTGTTTCTTTTGCTGTGACAGATAGCACTGAGTTCCAAAGCAAAGTCCCACAATCACTGTCCTCTCCCTCTGCCTATCACACATACTGTCTCTCTGTGCCATGCAGCTAATGCTAGGGGATAGAGGTGATGTTGTTGGCAATTCAAGACTGTCTTTTCTACCCTCTTCAGTGCCTTTTTCCTTGATATGATGTTAAAACCAGGCACTGTGATTGTGTACCTGATTTTTGATTCTCATGAAGGTGCTTCATTATGTGGATAGTTGTTCGATTTGGTATTCCTGTGGAGGGGATAATCATTAGAGGATTCTATTCAGCCATCTTGCTCCACCACCTTCTCTCCAGACACTTTTGTAAGTGATGATACCAGTCATTTAGTCCATCCCTAAAAAACTGAGGATTCTGGGAATTTACCATGTCAATGCCATCTTTGTAAGATTATTACCTAAGAAAAATGGGTGCTCTTTACTTTAAGAGTAGAAAACAAAAAGAAGTCAGAAGTAGCCACATCAGGACTGTAAGGTGGATGCTTAATAATGTTTCATCAAAACTCTTGTAAAATTAGGCTGGGTACAGTGGCTCACAACTGTAATCCTAACACTTCGGGAGGCTGAGGCAGGCATATCACTTGAGGTCAGGATTTCACCAGCCTGGCCAACATTGTGAAACCCACTCTCTACCAAAAATACAAAAATTTGCTGGGCGTGGTGGCACATACCTGTAATCCTAGCTTCTCAGGTTGCTGAGGCAGGAGAATTGTTTGAGCCTGGGAGGCAGAGGTTGCAGTGAGCTGAGATCACACCATTGCACTCCAGCATGGGCAACAGAGTGAGACCCTGTCTCAAAACCAAACCAAAACAAACAAACAAACAAACAAACAAACGAAACTCCTCCTGTAAAACTGACCTTGTTTGATGGGAGGAATGAGCAGGAACACTTGTCATGGTGAGGAGGGACCCTCTGATGAAGCTTTCCTAGGCATTTTTCTGCTAAATCTTTGACTAAGTGTCTCAAAATGCTATCATAAGCAGATGTTATTCTTTATCTCTCCCAGAAAGTCAACAAGCAAAATGGCTTGAGCATCTCAAACACCTGTTGCCATGATCTTTGCTCTTGACTGGTTTACTTTTGCTTTTACTGGACCACTTCCTCCTCCTGGTAGCTATTGCTTTGATTATGCTTTGTCTTCAGGATTATACTTGTAAAGCCTTTTTTTTTTAATCTCCTATTACAATTCTTCGAAGAAATGCTTCAGATTTTGATTCCACTTGTTCAAAATTTAATTGAAATCTCTGTTGTTGTCTGAAGCGGATCTGGTCACAAAAGTTTTGGCACCCATCACATGGAATATTTACTCAACTTTAATTTTTAGTCAGATCTATATAAGCTGAACCAATTGAGATGTCTGTGGTGTTGGCTTTTGTTTCTGCAATTAATTGTTGGGCCCTTTCAATTAGAGCACAAACAAGATAATTTTGTTCTTGCAAATTGATATGGATGGACTGCCACTGCAGGCTTCATCTTTAACATCATCTCATTCCTTCTTAAAGCGAATTTTCTATTTGTAAATTGATGATTTATTTGGGGGCATTGTCCTCATAAACTTTTCATAAAGCATGATTGATTTCACCATTCTTACACTCAGTCTTCACCCTGAATTTGATGTTTGTTCTTGCTTCAATTTTGGTGGAATTAATGTTGCACTGAAAGGGGCTCTTTTCAAATTTATGTTTTATTCTTCTTAGTGCCTCAGACTAGATCCTATTTAGACATGTTATAACAAGTTAGGGAGAATTTATTTTGGTGCAAATTTTTTTGACATTCATGCATAGCTTTTAATAATGTACACTATCCATCAACATTTTGAAGACTCCTCATATAGTATCTACTAGTTTATGAAATTTCAATAAAAATTTAAAACCTTCAGAAAAATAATTACAAATGGCTAAGTGTAGATGTTAATTGTTTAAAATATGCAACTCATAAATTTTGATTTTTCCTGAATTCATAGCTGTATATAAAGGTGCTTGTCCCTAGCCTGCCACACCCACTGTCTTTCAGATTGTGCCCTGATACTCCTTCACATCATTATTTGCAATGACAATACTAGAGAAATAAATTGTCCATTGATAAGGCATACCACGGGTTTATTTCATTATGCCAATTTTAAAGCTACTTTCTTCTGTGACCAGAACATTTTTTAAGACGTTAATTGGTTGGTCTTTATTTGGCATTTGATCAGAGGAGAGACAGTGTTGACAAAGCAGACATTTTCAGTATCTTTGTCATTTATTCACTAGCGGGAATCTTTATCTGTTCTCTGCCTTCATGTCTTTGGTAACCTCAGACCAGTCTGGTATATCTTAATTTGATCTTGTTTTCCAAGCCAAAATTCAGTTTTTCTGTGCCTCACAGGCTTAGTATTCTCACTAATGATGATGTCTATCCATTGTTATCTCAAAGTCCTCATTTTCCTCTGTCTTACAGCTGAGATCAGATTTTTCTGATTCTATTCATAGCAGTATCTGTAGCTTTTAACTAGTATTTTTGCCTCTTAATTAAATAAATGTAACACAGCTAGCGTCTGAAGTAAAATGTGACTAGTTTATATTAAATATGGTAACTTTCATAAATAAATATTAAAACCTGTTTAATCAAGAATAAAACCCAAGTATTTATGAAGATACTTGGGAATTGCTTTTCCCAACACTATGATATTAGTAATCTGGGTAGGACTGCCAGATGTAGCAAATAAAAATACAAGACACCCACTTACATTTTTGTTTCATATAATTAAGGACTAATTTTTAATATCAGTATGTTCAATGCAGTATTAAATTCCATGTGGTTTCACTGGGCATTTTATATTTTAACTGTCACCCCTAAATTTTCTTCATAGGGGCATTGATTCTTGTAGTAGTTGCCCTACTGAAATCCTTCAGTAAAATAGAAACAAAGAGCTAACAAGTTATGAATTCTTTTCATGAAATATTATCATGCCCTCCACTTATGTAATCTTTTTCCCCCATCACTTTGCCAAAGTTGCCTTCAGTCTCTACGGGCAGTGGTCCTGTGGTGTTGCAATACCTGCTCTCAGAGGGTAGGGCCAGACCACTCTTTTGCCCCACTTAGCCCAGTCTCATCTCCATCTCTCCCTAACTGTTGGGTTACAGACATTCCTCTGGTGGCAAAAGCAGAGGTGTCCTCTGGGCTGATACCCAGGATCACAATGCTGCATCTTTGTTGTTTAAAGACTCAAAATCAGCCACCACTCCTTTGTGCTCTCTGTGGCTCTCAAATTTGCTGCATTTGTGAAAAATTATCTGGTTTACACTATTCCAGTTTTATTTCAGGGCTGTATCACTTACATTAGGAGATTGAATACAATATCACAGCCATGATTTTCAGGAAATACTAACTTGGAAGAGTGTTATTTCCAGTGGCTATTTGGATAATTGGAGCATAACATCCTCTTCATAAAGCATTTTAGCCTAGGCTGAGTTGAATAAAGATTTAAGCAAAATGTGTGTTTTAGAAACCTGTGTAAAAGCTTCTTTGGTTATTCTTTCCTATACATCAGGAAGATAGTATTGAGAACTACAGTGTGATGACTTGCTCTAGGGTTACCTCCAAGCAACCCTTACGAAAGTGTGATTTTGAACAATGAGATAATTTGTTTCATGTGGGTACAAATGTCGTGAATCATGGCATTGATTATGGGAGTAGTTCCATTGGATAACATTCTGCCTTACAATGGATTTTATAAACTCTCTTCCTAGGGAGACAGCTCAAAGCATTTCGCAGGGCAGATGTGAGTGCCCAACAAAGAAAAATTTGCCCCATCCTAGCTTTCATATGTGCCTAAGTGTGAGGCATGACTCACCTTCCACTTAAGCAGCAATATAACCTTTTTCTTCATACTCTGCCTTTCTGCCTTGGTTCACCATTTTCTTCTTTCTATCATATGGATCGTTTATAATAATAATTATTCAACAAATATTTGTTCAGCCCCTACTACATTTAGGGTACTAGATGTGTTACTATAAGGTGCTGCCTGTAGTGGCCAGGAGCTTATCTTTCAGTTAGTGGAAGTAAGATATGTCTTAGCCCAAGGCAATATGTAAAAAAGTATTATATAAGTATATACAACTTGGTATTACAGTAAGTAACATAAGGGAAAAAGGTGTTTTTACCTGGGTGTTTTACATTATGAAAGCACTATGGAAGGAATCTGATGATCTGTATAGATGAGCAAGATTTCAGTAGGGGAAAATGTGGGATGGAGGATCATTCAGACAGAGGAAATTACACAAAAGCCTTGAAGCTTAAAGAAAAGCACAACTTTGCAGAATGGAATGTGATTCAGATGGAATGGAATAAGTCCTTTTTTTCTATTTGAGGGTAACGGGACAATATTACAGATGGATTTGAATGGTATATGGGAACAAAATAGTGCTTCAGGTAGATTAACCTAAAAGTACTGTACAGACTGATTGAAGGGCAGAAAGTTTAGGAAATTGATTATTTGAAATAGTTTAGGCATAAAGTGATAATATCCTGACCTATTAAAAGATGGTAGTGCCAAAAAAGAACACATGGTTTAGCTGGCCCAAACAATGGTTAGTTTGTCTACTTAGACAATATATTGAATAATATTCTCTATTTTTCATAATATTTTCATATTGTGAACTACTTAACACTTATACCGAATTACCTCAACACTAATAATATTTTCATATTGTGAACTACTTAACACTTATGCCTAATTACCTTAACACTTATAACTAATCACTATGCAAAGTAAGAACAGTCTTGTATATGTAATTTGTTATCAACCACTTAAAACTTTGGAAAAATGAAAGAGTTTTTATTTGTAGAACTGGTTCTAAATAAAAAGGCAAGGCCAGACAAATACCTGGAAAGAAACCTTCTCTTAGCCCTAGAGCCACTGAATCAAGTCAAAATACCTTCCACAAATGGCAACTTAATACTTAAGGAATAAGTGAAGTTACTTTTACAGTTTCTTAACAGCAGTTGCATTTTCTTTCTTTTTATTACAAATTCAGACTTTAAAATTGTTCTCTTAGCTGCATGAGAGTCAATTAGGAAAAAGTTACATAAAAATCATTGTTCCTCATGACATACATATCAAAAGCAAAAATGTATATTGATTAAAGGGGTAGAAGGGAATTTCAAACGAGAGGAGGACTGTAACCATAAACTGTTTCTGTCTCATATGGTATTAAGAACAGCAAAGAACCTGAGCCTGTTAAGCACTATAATCCAGAGGTACACTGAATGGGAATTTTCTGATCCTTACCTAACCTTCATGTCAATCTACTACTTCAAGCTATTTTTCTGTGAAAAAGTTAACATGTAAACTAAGACAGATACCTGAGATTTAAAAACAAAATCTATTGTAATTTGCTTCTAACAGTGTTTTATACACCTTAATTATGTAATTCATCTGTCACTTTAATAAGAGTGATTTTAAAATAATGCAGGGATTGAATGTATCTTTATCTTTTGTACTTCTTTTCATATAAAATGAAGTAAAGCTCAATGAGCAAACCCCAAACAGTTTTTTAAATTATTTTGGATGAATCAAATAATAGTAGGATTTTCCATTTCTGTTTTAAGATAGAGATCCATTTTGTTTTGTTCATAGTTTATATAATATGTAAAATTATTTTTATATATCATCTTTGATATTAGAAAAGACATTTTGGTATGCGTTTTTTTTTTCTTTTTTTAAATTTATTTTATTATTATTATATTTTAAGTTTTAGGGTACATGTGGACAATGTGCAGGTTAGTTACATATGTATACATGTGCCATGCTGGTGTGCTGCACCCATTAACTCGTCATTTAGCATTAGGTATATCTCCTAATGCTATCCCTTCCCCCTCCCCCCACCCCACAACAGTCCCCAGAGTGTGATGTTCCCCTTCCTGTGTCCATGTGTTCTCATAGTTCAATTCCCACCTATGAGTGAGAACATGCAGTGTTTGGTTTTTTGTCCTTGTGATAGTTTACTGAGAATGATGATTTCCAATTTCATCCATGTCCCTACAAAGGACATGAACTCATCATTTTTTATGGCTGCATAGTATTCCATGGTGTATATGTGCCACATTTTCTTAATCCAGTCTATCATTGTTGGACATTTGGGTTGGTTCCAAGTCTTTGCTATTGTGAATAGTGGACAATAAACATACGTGTGCACGTGTCTTTATAGCAGCATGATTTATAGTCCTTTGGGTATATACCCAGTAATGGGATGGCTGGGTCAAATGGTATTTCTAGTTCTAGATCCCTGAGGAATCGCCACACTGACTTCCACAATGGTTGAACTAGATTACAGTCCCACCAACAGTGTAAAAGTATTCCTATTTCTCCACATCCTCTCCAGCACCTGTTCTTTCCTGACTTTTTAATGATCACCATTCTAACTGGTGTGAGATAGTATCTCATTGTGGTTTTGATTTGCATTTCTCTGATGGCCAGTGATGATGAGCATTTTTTCATGTGTTTTTTGGCTGCATAAATGTCTTCTTTTGAGAAGTGTCTGTTCATGTCCTTTGCCTATTTTTTGATGGGGTTGTTTGTTTTTTTCTTGTAAATTTGTTTGAGTTCATTGTAGATTCTGGATATTAGCCCTTTGTCAGATGAGTAGGTTGCGAAAATTTTCTCCCATTCTGTAGGTTGCCTGTTCACTCTGATGGTAGTTTCTTTTGCTGTGCAGAAGCTCTTTAGTTTAATTAGATCCCATTTGTCAATTTTGGCTTTTGTTGCCATTACTTTTTGTGTTTTAGACATGAAGTCCTTGCCCATGCCTATGTCCTGAATGGTATTGCCTAGGTTTTCTTCTAGGGTTTTTATGGTTTTAGGTCTAACATTTAAGTCTTTTATCCATCTTGAATTAATTTTTGTATAAGGTGTAAGGAAGGGATCCAGTTTCAGCTTTCTACACATGGCTAGCCAGTTTTCCCAGCACCATTTATTAAATAGGGAATCCTTTCCCCATTGCTTGTTTTTCTCAGGTTTGTCAAAAATCAGATAGTTGTAGATATGTGGTGTTACTTCTGAGGGCTCTGTTCTGTTCCATTGGTCTATATCTCTCTTTTGGTACCACTACCATGCTGTTTTGGTTACTGTAGCCTTGTAGTATAGTTTGAAGTCAGGTAGCATGATGCCTCCAGCTTTGTTCTTTTGGCTTAGGATTGACTTGGCGATGCGGGCTCTTTTTTGGTTCCATATGAACTTTAAAGTAGTTTTTTCCAATTCTGTGAAGAAAGTCATTGGTAGCTTGATGGGGATGGCATTGAATCTATAAATTACCTTGGGCAGTATGGCCATTTTCACGATATTGATTCTTCCTACCCATGAGCATGGAATGTTCTTCCATTTGTTTGTATCCTCTTTTATTTCCTTGAGCAGTGGTTTGTAGTTCTCCTTGAAGAGGTCCTTCACGTCCCTTTTAAGTTGGATTCCCAGGTATTTTATTCTCCTTGAAGCAATTGTGAATGGGAGTTCACTCATGATTTGGCTCTCTGTTTGTCTGTTATTGGTGTTTAAGAATGCTTGTGATTTTTGCACATTGATTTTGTTTCCTGAGACTTTGCTGAAGTTGCTTATCAGCTTAAGGAGATTTTGGGCTGAGACATTGGGGTTTCTAGATATACAATCATGTCATCTGCAAACAGGGACAATTTGATTTCCTCTTTTCCTAATTGAATACCCTTTATTTCCTTCTCCTGCCTAATTGCCCTGGCCAGAACTTCTAACACTATGTTGAATAGGAGTGGTGAGAGAGGGCATCCCTGTCTTGCACCTGTTTTCAAAGGGAATGCTTCCAGTTTTTGCCCATTCAGTATGATATTGGCTGTGGGTCTGTCATAGATAGCTCTTATTATTTTGAGATATGTCCCATCAATACCTAATTTATTGAGAGTTTTTAGCATGAAGCATTGTTGAATTTTGTCAAAGGCCTTTTCTGCATCTAATGAGATAATCATGTGATTTTTATCTTTGGTTCTGTTTATATGCTGGATTACATTTATTGATTTGTGTATATTGAACCAGCCTTGCATCCCAGGGATGAAGCCCACTTGATCATGGTGGATAAGCTTTTTGATGTGCTGCTGGATTCGGTTTGCCAGTATTTTATTCAGGATTTTTGCATCAATGTTCACCAAGGATATTGGTCTAAAATTCTCTTTTTTGGTTGTGTCTCTGCCCGGCTTTGGTATCAGGATGATGCTGGCCTCATAAAATGAGTTAGGGAGGATTCCCTCTTTTTCTATTGATTGGAATAGTTTCAGAAGGAATGGTACCAGTTACTCCTTGTACCTCTGGTAGAATTCGGCTGTGAATCCATCTGGTCCTGGACTCTTTTTGATTGGTAAGCTATTGATTATTGCCACAATTTCAGAGCCTGTTATTGGTCTATTCAGAGATTCAACTTCTTCCTGGTTTAGTCTTGGGAGAGTGTACGTGTCAAGGAATGTATCCATTTCTTCTAGATTTTCTAGTTTATTTGCGTAGAGGTATTTGTAGTATTCTCTGATGGTAGTTTGTATTTCTGTGGGATCGGTGGTGATATCCCCTTTATCATTTTTTATTGCGTCTATTTGATTCTTCTCTCTTTTCTTCTTTATTAGTCTTGCTAGTGGTCTATCAATTTTGTTGATCCTTTCAAAAAACCAGGTCCTAGATTCATTAATTTTTTGAAGGGTTTTTTGTGTCTCTATTTCCTTCAGTTCTGCTCTGATTTTAGTTATTTCTTGCCTTCTGCTAGCTTTTGAATGTGTTTGCTCTTGCTTTTCTAGTTCTTTTAATTGTGATGTTAGGGTGTCAATTTTGGATCTTTCCTGCTTTCTCTTGTGGGCATTTAGTGCTATAAATTTCCCTCTACACAGTGCTTTGAATGTGTCCCAGAGATTCTGGTATGTTGTGTCTTTGTTCTCGTTGGTTTCAAAGTACATCTTTATTTCTGCCTTCATTTTGTTATGTACCCAGTAGTCATTCAGGAGCAGGTTGTTCAGTTTCCATGTAGTTGAGTGATTTTGAGTGAGTTTCTTAATCCTGAGTTCTAGTTTGATTGCACTGTGGTCTGAGAGACAGTTTGTTTTAATTTCTGTTCTTTTACATTTGCTGAGGAGAGCTTTACTTCCAACTATGTGGTCAATTTTGGAATAGGTGTGGTTTGGTGCTGAAAAGAATGTATATTCTGTTGATTTGGGGTGGAGAGTTCTGCAGATGGCTGTTAGGTCTGCTTGGTGCAGAGCTGAGTTCAATTCCTGGATATCCTTGTTAACTTTCTGTCTCATTGATCTGTCTAATGTTGACAGTGGGGTGTTAAAGTCTCCCATTATTATTGTGTGGGAGTCTAAGTCTCTTTGTAGGTTACTCAGGACTTGCATTATGAATCTGGGTGCTCCTGTATTGGGTGCATATATATTTAGGATAGTTAGCTCTTCCTGTTGAATTGATCCCTTTACCATTATGTAATGGCCTTCTTTGTCTCTTTTGATCTTTGTTGGTGTAAAGTCTGTTTTATCAGAGACTAGGATTGCAACCCCTGCCTTTTTTTGTTTTCCATTTGCTTGGTAGATCTTCCTCCATCCCTTTATTTTGAGCCTATGTGTGTCTCTGCACATGAGATGGGTTTCCTGAATACAGCACACTGATGGGTCTTGACTCTTTATCCAATTTGCCAGTCTGTGTCTTTTAATTGGAGCATTTATTCCATTTACATGTAAAGTTAATATTGTTATGTGTGAATTTGATCCTGTCATTATGATGTTAGCTGGTGATTTTGCTTGTTAGTTGATGCAGTTTCTTCCTAGCCTCGATGGTCTTTACAATTTGGCATGATTTTGCAGTGGCTGGTACCGGTTGTTCCTTTCCATGTTTAGCGCTTCCTTCAGGAGCTCTTTTAGGGCAGGCCTGGTGGTGACAAAATCTCTCAGCATTTGCTTGTCTGTAAAGGAGTTTATTTCTCCTTCACTTATGAAACTTAGTTTGGCTGGATATGAAATTCTGGGTTGAAAATTCTTTTCTTTAAGAATGTTGAATATTGGCCCCCACTCTCTTCTGGCTTCCCCCACTCTCTTCTGGCTTGTAGACTTTCTGCCGAGAGATCTGCTGTTAGACTGATGGGCTTCCCTTTGTGGGTAACCCAACCTTCCTCTCTGGCTGCCCTTAACATTTTTTCCTTCATTTCAGCTTTGGTGAATCTGACATTTATGTGGCTTGGAGTTGCTCTTCTTGAGGAGTATCTTTGTGGCATTCTCTGTATTTCCTGAATCTGAATGTTGGCCTGCCTTGCTAGATTGGGGAAGTTCTCCTGAATAACATCCTGCAGAGTGTTTTCCAACTTGGTTCCATTCTCCCCGTCACTTTCAGGTACACCAATCAGACGTAGATTTGGTCTTTTCACATAGTCCCATATTTCTTGGAGGCTTTGCTCATTTCTTTTTATTCTTTTTTCTCTAAACTTCCCTTCTTGCTTCATTTCATTCATTTGATCTTCCATCACTGATACCCTTTCTTCCAGTTGATCGTATCGGCTCCTGAGGCTTCTGCATTCTTCACGTAGTTCTCGAGCCTTGGCTTTCAGCTCCATCAGCTCCTTTAAGCACTTCTCTATATTGGTTATTCTAGTTATACATTTGTCTAAATTTTTTTCAAAGTTATTAACTTCTTTGCCTTTGGTTTGAATTTCATCCTGTAGCTCGGAGTAGTTTGATCGTCTGAAGCCTTCTTCTCTCAACTCGTCAAAGTCATTCTCCATCCTGCTTTGTTTCGTTGCTGGTGAGGAACTGCGTTCCTTTGGAGGAGAAGAGGTGCTCTGCTTTTTACAGTTTCCAGTTTTTCTGCTCTGTTTTTTCCCCATCTTTGTGGTTTTATCTACTTTTGGTCTTTGATGATGGTTATGTACAGATGGGTTTTTGGTGTGGATGTCCTGTTTTGTTAGTTTTCCTTCTAACAGACAGGACCCTCAGCTGCAGGTCTTTTGGGGTTTGCTGGATGTCCACTCCAGACCCTATTTGCCTGGGTATCAGCAGCAGTGGCTGCAGAACTGCGGATTTTCGTGAACCACAAATGCTGCTGTCTGATCGTTACTCTGGAAGTTTTGTCTCAGAGGAGTACCCTGCCATGTCAGGTGTCGGTCTGCCCCTACTTGGGGGTGCCTCCCAGTTAGGCTTCTCAGGGGTCAGGGGTCAGGGACCCAATTGAGGAGGCATTCTGTCCATTCTCAGATCTCCAGCTGTGTGCTGAGAGAACCACTGCTGTCTTCAAAGCTGTCAGACAGGGACATTTAAGTCTGTGGAGGTTACTGCTGTCTTGTTGTTTGTGTGTGCCCTGCCCCCAGAGGTGGAGCCTACAGAGGCAGGCAGGCCTCCTTGAGCTGTGGTGGGCTCCATCCAGTTCGAGCTTCCCGGCTGCTTTGTTTACCTAAGCAAGCCTGGGCAATGGTGGGCGCCCCTCCCCCAGCCTCGCTGCCGCCTTGCAGTTTGATCTCCGACTGTTGTGCTAGCAATCAGCGAGACTCCGTGGGTGTAGGACCCTCCGAGCCAGGTGCAGGATATAATCTCCTGGTGCGCCGTTTTTTAAGCCCGTTGGAAAAGTGCAGTATTCGGGTGGGAGTTACCCGATTTTCCAGGTGCCGTCTGTCACCCCTTTCTTTGGCTAGCAAAGGGAACTCCCTGACCCCTTGCACTTCCTGAGTGAGGCAATGTCTTGCCCTGCTTTGGCTCGCACACAGTGCGCTGCACCCACTGTCCTGTGCCCACTGTCTGGCACTCCCTAGTGCATGAACCTGGTACCTCAGATGGAAATGCAGAAATCACCTGTCTTCTGCGTCGCTCATGCTAGGAGCTGTAGACAGAGCTGTTCCTATTCGGCCATTTTGGGTGCCCCCCGTTGGTATGCGGTTTGCTGTGAAATTTTGGTTTGGAAGTCTGTGAATCCTTGTCATTATCTTTGGTTATGGTACAAATTATTAGCTTTTGCTACTCCTGTTGTCTAAATGATGTTGGGAGAGAATTTAAACTTCAAAGCAAACATTTTAAAACTTGAGTCTGTCTCCATCTTGGGGAATAGATGGTTACCCTGCCTGCTTCTCTAATTCTGATTTATTCAGTACTCATTTACCTAGTGCCTACTAAAGTCTCAGGCACCAGGGAAACAAAGTAAATAAGAATTGGTCATGGTCGACCTAGAGGTGGCAATCAAATGGGGGTATTCAGACATGGACACTAGTTAATTAAAATAGCAGAGTGAAAGCCTAGAGGACGAATTGATTAAGTGAGGAAAAGGGAGACAAGACTTCCAAAATAATTATTTGTATGTCAGCTTAGTGATGGGAGTGGAAGTTCACTCCATTGCGGTTGAGAATAAAAAGGATACTTGACTATGTGGATAATTCTGAATTGAGTTTTATACTTCAGTTTTAAATGTGGAATGAAAGTTCTGTTAGACCAGTAATTCTCAAGTAACAGTTTGTGGCCTTTTGCTGGTGGCTACATAGACACTTGTTAAAAATGCAGACTGCCTGGAGGTACTATGTTCTGAAAAAGCATCTCACGTGATTCTTATAATTAGTAAGGTATGACACCTACTTTAATAAAGATCCAGGAGAGATAAAATAAATGGTAGTTGAAGTCACAGGAATGGATAAGATTTCCCTTGAAAGTGTGGAGAGTAAGCAAAGCAGAAGACAAGAAGTAAGTAGAGAAGGAGCCAGCAAAGGAACTAAAAAGGAATATACTGTGTCCAGCAGCTAGGATGTATATTTACCTGAGTCTTCCAGTTCTTAGAATGGTAATCCTCATTTCTGAATTGATATATAGAGAAAAAATGTAGAAGAAAAATCTCTAGACTGCTATTTATGATTTGGCTTTATTCTAAAAGGGATTAATCAAGTTTCAGCTTTGCCCTATCTCCAAATATTATGCCTACTTCTGGAGGAAGTATAATCACAAAATCTGTAGCAGAAACAGCAACTGACCCTCTCGAATAGTGAAAAATGAAGAAAGTAGAGTATCAGGAAAGAAAGTTGTAATATTAACCAGGCTTTGTAAAACAAAAAATGCTCCATCATACAGTTACTGGATGGAATGAGGATATTTAATTTACTGAAGTGACCTTTATAATTGAGAACTAGAACTGTTATAGTCTCTCAGGAACAAATCCTTCTGTTCTTAGCCATTCCTATTCTTTTGTATTGATGTTGTTGTGATCCATGCATCTTCTACTTTTAGGTAACTAAAACCTTATGTTAATGGAAATGTGCTGTTATAAAAGGGCATACAATGGCAATTATATAACCTGAATTGGCATAAAAATTAATTGTCTTTTTCAAAATCCACATCCCCAGATAGAATACCTGTTGATCCTGAAGGATTTTTAAAACATATACATTACCAGGGGGTGCAGCCAAGAGGCCAAATAGGAACAGCTCCAGTCTACATCTCCCAGCGTGAGCGACGCAGAAGACGGGTGATTTCGCATTTCCAACAGAAGCACTGGGTTCATCTCACTGGAGAGTGTCAGAAAATGGGTGCAGGACAGTGGGTGCAGCTAGTCAAAGAAAGGGGTGACATATGGCACCTGGAAAATCGGGTCACTCCCACCCGAATACTGCACTTTTCCAATGGTCTTAGCAAATGGCACACCTTTAGATTATAGCCCGCGCCTGGCTTGGAGGGTCCTATGCCCACGGAGCCTCACTCATTGCTAGCACAGGAGTCTCAGATCAAACTGCAAGGCAGCAGCGAGGCTGTGGGAGGGGCGCCCGCCATTGCTGAGGCTTGAGTAGGTAAACAAAGCGGCTGGGAAGCTCGAACTGAGTGGAGCCCACCGCAGCTTAAGGAGGCCTGCTTACCTCTGTAGACTCCACCTCTGGGGGCACAGCATAGCCAAACAAAAGGCAGCAGATTCCTCAGCAGACTTAAATGTCCCTGTCTGACCGCTTTGAAGAGAGTAATGGTTCTCCCAGCACGCAGCTGGAGATCTGAGAATGGACAGACTGCCTCCTCAAGTGGGTCTCTGACCCACGCGTAGCCTAACTGGGAGGCACCCTGCAGTAGGGGCAGACTGACATCTCACACGGCCGAGTACTCCTCTGAGACAAAACTTCCAGAGGAATGATCAGGCAGCAACATTTGCTGTTCACCAATATCTGCTGTTCTGCAGCCACCACTGCTGATACCCAGGCAAACAGGGACTGGAGTGGAACTCCCACAAACTCCAATAGACCTGCAGCTGAGGGTCCTGACTGTTAGAAGAAAAACTAACAAACAGAAAGGACATCCACACCAAAACCCCATCTATACGTCACCATCATCAAAGACCAAAGGTAGATAAAACCACAAAGATGGGGAAAAAACAGAGCAGAAAAAATGGAAACTCTAAAAGTCAGAGTGCCTCTCCTCCTCCAAAAACGCAGCTCCTCAGCAGCAATGGAACTAAGCTGGATGGAGAATGACTTTGACGAGTTGAGAGAAGAAGGCTTCAGACGATCAAGCTACTCCAAGCTACAGGACGAAATTCAAACCAAAGGCAAAGAAGTTAAAAACTTTGAAAAAAATTTAGACGAATGTATAACTAGAATAACCAATACAGAGAAGTGCTTAAAGGAGCTGATGGAGCTGAAAACGAAGACATGAGAACTACGTGACGAATGCACAAGCCTCAGTAGCCGATTTGATCAACTGGAAGAAAGGGTATCAGTGATGGAAAATCAAATGAATGAAATGAAGCGAGAAGAGAAGTTTAGAGAAAAAAGAATAAAAAGAAATGAACAAAGCCTCCAAGAAATATGGGACTATGTGAAACGACCAAATCTACGTGTGACAGGTGTACCTGAAAGCGACGGGGAGAATGGAACCAAGTTGGAAAACACTCTGCAGGATATTATCCAGGAGAACTTCCCCAATCTAGCAAGGCAGGCAACATTCAGATTCAGGAAATATAGAGAATGCCACAAAGATACTCCTCGAGAAGAGCAACTCTAAGACACATAATTGTCAGATTCACCACAGTGGAAATGAAGGAAAAAATGTTAAGGGCAGCCAGAGAGGAAGGTTGGGTTACCCACAAAGGGAAGCCCATCAGACTAACAGCAGATCTCTCGGCAGAAAGTCTACAAGCCAGAAGAGAGTGGGGGCCAATATTCAACATTCTTAAAGAAAAGAATTTTCAGCCCAGAATTTCATATCCAGCCAAACTAAGCTTCATAAGTGAAGGAGAAATAAACTCCTTTACAGACAAGCAAATGCTGAGAGATTTTGTCACCACCAGGCCTGCCCTAAAAGAGCTCCTGAAGGAAGCGCTAAACATGGAAAGGAACAAACAGTACCAGCCACTGCAAAATCATGCCAAATTGTAAAGACCATCGAGGCTAGGAAGAAACTGCATCAACTAACAAGCAAAATAACCACCTAACATCATAATGACAGGATCAAATTCACAGATAACAATATTAACTTTACATGTAAATGGAATAAATGCTCCAATTAAAAGACACAGACTGGCAAATTGGATAAAGAGTCAGGACCCATCAGTGTGCTGTATTCAGGAAACCCATCTCACGTGCAGAGACACACATAGGCTCACAATAAGGGACGGAGGAAGATCTACCAAGGAAATGGAAAACAAAAAAAGGTACGGGTTGCAATCCTAGTCTCTGATAAAACAGACTTTACACCAACAAAGATCAAAAGAGACAAAGAAGGCCATTACATAATGGTAAAGGGATCAATTCAACAAGAATAACTATCCTAAATATATATGCACCCAATACAGGAGCACCCAGATTCATAATGGAAGCCGTTAGAGACCTGCAAGAGACTTAGACTCCCACACAATAATAATGGGAGACTTTAACACCCCACTGTCCACATTAGACAGATCAATGAGACAGAAAGTTAACAAGGATATCCAGGAATTGAACTCAGCTCTGCACCAAGCAGACCTAACAGCCATCTGCAGAACTCTTCACCCCAAATCAACAGAATATACATTCTTTTCAGCACCACACCACACCTAGTCCATAATTGACCACATAGTTGGAAGTAAAGCACTCCTCAGCAAATGTAAAAGAACAGAAATTATAACAAACTGTCTCTCAGACCACAGTGCAATCAAACTAGAACTCAGGATTAAGACACTCACTCAAAATCACTCAACTACATGGAAACTGAACAACCTGCTCCTGAATGACTGCCAGGTACATAACGAAATGAAGGCAGAAATAAAGATGTTCTTTGAAACCAACGAGAACAAAGACACAACGTACCAGAATCTCTGGGACACATTCAAAGCAGTGTATAGAGGGAAATTTATGGCACTAAATACCCACAAGAGAAAGCAGGAAAGATCTAAAATTGACACCCTAACATCACAATTAAAAGAACTAGAGAAGCAAGATGAAACACATTCAAAAGCTAGCGGAAGGCAAAATATAACTAAGATCAGAGCAGAAATGAAGGAAATAGAGACACAAAAAACCCTTCAAAAAATCAATGAATACAGGAGCTGGTTTTTTGAAAGGATCAACAAAATTGATAGACCACTAGCAAGACTAATAAAGAAGAAAAGAGAGAAGAATCAAATAGACGCAATAAAAAATGATAAAGGGGATATCACCACCGATCCCACAGAAATACAAACTACCATCAGAGAATACTACAAATACCTCTACACAAATAAACTAGAAAATCTAGAAGAAATGGATAAATTCCTCGACACATACACCCTCCCAAGACTAAACCAGGAAGAACTCCCATTCATAATTGCTTCAAAGAGAATAAAATACCTAGGAATCCAACTTACAAGGGACATGAAGGACCTCTTCAAGGAGAACTACAAACCACTGCTCAAGGAAATAAAAGAGGATACAAACAAATGGAAGAACATTCCATGCTCATGGGTAGGAAGAATCAATATCGTGAAAATGGCCATACTCCCCAAGGTAATTTATAGATTCAATGCCATCCCCATCAAGCTACCAATGACTTTCTTCACAGAACTGGAGAAAACTACTTTAAAGTTCATATGGAACCAAAAATGAACCTGCACTGCCAATTCAATCCTAAGCCAAAAGAACAAAGCTGGAGGCATCAAGCTACCTGACTTCAAACTATACTACAAGGCTACAGTAACCAAAACAGCATGGTACTGGTAGCAAAACAGAGATATAGACCAATGGAACAGAACAGAGCCCTCAGAAGTAACACGGCATATCTAAACCATCTGATCTTTGACAAACCTGAGAAAAACAAGCAATGGGGAAAGGATTCCCTATTTAATAAATGGTGTTGGGAAAACTGGCTAGCCATATGTAGAAAGCTGAAACTGGATCCCTTCCTTACACCTTATACAAAAATTAATTCAAGATGGATTAAAGACTTAAACGTTAGACCTAAAACCATAAAAACCCTAGAAGAAAACCTAGGCAATACCATTGAGGACATAGGCATGGGCAAGGACTTCATGTCTAAAACACAAAAAGTAATGGCAACAAAAGCCAGAATTGACAAATGGGATCTAATTAAACTAAAGAGCTTCTGCACAGCAAAAGAAACTACCATCAGAGTGAACAGGCAACCTACAAAATGGGAGAAAATTTTTGCCATCTACTCATCTGACAAAGGGCTAATATCCAGAATCTACAATGAACTCTAACAAATCTACAAACAAAAAGCAAACAACCCCATCAAAGAGTGGGCGAAGGATATGAATAGACAGTTCTCAAAAGAAGACATTTATGCAGCCAAGAGACACATGAAAAAATGCTCATCATCACTGGCCATCAGAGAAATGCAAATCAAAACCACAATGAGATACCATCTCACACCGGTTAGAATGGTGATCATTAAAAAGTCAGGAAAGAACAGGTGCTGGAGAGGATGTGGAGAAATAGGAACACTTTTACAGTGTTGGTGGGACTGTAAACTAGTTCAACCATTGTGGAAGTCAGTGTGGTGATTCCTCAAGGATCTAGAACTAGGAATACCATTTGACCCAGCCATCCCATTACTGGGTATATACCCAAAGGACTATAAATCATGATGGTGTAAAGACACATGCACACGTATGTTTATTGCGGCACTATTCACAATAGCAAAGACTTGGAACCAACCCAAATGTCCAACAATGATAGACTGGATTAAGAAAATGTGGCACATATACACCATGGAATACTATGCAGCCATAAAATATGATGAGTTCATGTCCTTTGTAGGGACATGGATGAAGTTGGAAACCATCATTCTCAGCAAACTGTCACAAGGACAGAAAACCAAACACCGCATGTTCTCACTCATAGGTGGGAATTGAACAATGAGAACACATGGACACAGGAAGGGGAACATCACACTCCGGGGTCTGTTGTGGAGTGAGGGAAGGCAGGAGGGATAGCATTAGGAAATATACCTAATGCTAAATGACGAGTTAATGGGTGCAGCACACCAGCATGGCACATGTATACATATGTAACTAACCTGCACGTTGTGCACATGTACCCTAAAACTTAAAGTATATTTTAAAAAATACCGAAATTTTTGTAGGTATGTAGTTATTATTCAATTTTTTTGAAATGAATTAGCGACTGGAATGCATTCACTTTTCTTTGAAGTTTCAGGTGGTACTTTATGAAAAGGAATTTCCAAGATCATTTTAATAGTTATGTGATCAACTTTTCACTTAATATTCTTCCTTGCACTGATCTGATACAGATTTTTCACAACCTCAGTGAACAAGTGGTAAAATGGTCAACAGTGGTTCTAATATATTTAGCTTTGGAGGTTCTACATTAAAGGTTATTTTTAGAAAGTTTTCATAATTAACACAGTCTTGAGGAACTATTTTATTATGAATAATATTTTGTTAATGTCAGAGGAAAAGTTGAACAATGATACGTATATCTAAATAGAGAAAATTTACTCGTGAGAATACCACAGTGAGATCTTCAAATTTTTTGATGGCCAATTTGTGGAGTCTAACCAACAGCAAGTTAGGGAGAACACAATCCACACTGCCCTCAGTTCTGACACCAGTTGTAAATTCAGGGAGTTACCAAAACCACCCTTAAGTTCATAATTAATTAAACATGCTCATGGAAGCTGACAGAAAGCTGTTATACTCATAGTTACAGTGTATTACAACTATAGAATAGAGATTAAAGCCAGCCAAGGGAAGAAACACAAAGGGTTGAGTCCAGGAGAAGCACCAAATATGGAGCTTCCTTTGTCCTCTCCCCATGAGTAATGGATGTTACTTTTCTGGCATCAGTGTTTGATAATACACGTGGAGTACTGCCAGCTAGGGAAGCTCACCCAATCCTTGTTGCCCAGATTTTTTGTTGAGGCTCTGTCACATATTACCTATGTGGCTGACCTTTATTCTCCGGCCTCTCTGTAGGTAAAACTTGTATGGCATGGTCCAAAGTCTTAGTCATAAATAACATTGTTAGACTATTCAGTGTCCAAGGCCCCCATGCCTTGGACCCCCCTCATCAGGCATGATGTTCCATGGGCTAGAAGTCACCTATTACTAGCCAGTGGCAAAGGCCAAACTTCTCTTTGAGTAAGGTTAATTTTTCACTACACTCTATGTCATTCAGATAGTAAAAGCAGATGAAACCAAACTGGAACCAATGGCTTAACAAAACTGAGACTTCAGAGACTATGACAGATGAAATGGCTCCATATTGTCCACAGGATTAAGTTAAAGTGTTTGCATTGAAAATCACCTTTCTGTATCCTGGTTCTCTCTCAACTTGTTCTTTTATGAATTCCCTTCTGCAGTCAATTAGAGTCACATCTACTGGGCATGCCAAGTGCTTTCCTGCTTTGGAGGGTTTGTTTATACCACACTCGCTGTTAATATATTCACTCATGATCTGTAGGTTTTGTTGAGCCCAGCCCAGGCCCCATCTCCTGTGGAAGGCCACTTTCACCACTTTACCACTTTTGCAGACATTCTCCACTGATTTCCCATAGCTAACATTGCCCATATAGTTTTTTTTGGCTGTTAGCATATATTTCTTTCCATTGATATGTATACCTATATCTTGTCTTTACAAGTTGATCTTAAGCCTTTTGCAATTTAAGGAAATAATGGACTATGCCCTGTGTTTTTTTGAGCCCCCAGATCCTATTACAATGTCTTGCACATAACAAATGTTAAATAAATATTTGAATGGGAAGTTTTCATATAGACTTGCAAGTAGGAGTATATTATTCAAATATATGAATTAAATCATCTTGTAAAAATGATGTAAATTATACTTATAAATTTCTGAGGTAAGTTAATCCAGAAAAATATTGGAATCATTTTTGGCAATTCATTGAAGACACTGGAAACATAAAGGTCAGAAAAATGATGGAAAATGGTAAGAGAAGTATTGCCATTCCACTTCCACTTCAGGGCCTTTCACATTGCTTTCCCCTCTGACTGTAACACTCTTTCTCTAAATATTTCTCTAAATAATCTCACTCAGAGAGGCAAAACCACCCTACCTAATAGGTCAGCCCTTTCCTCACTATCTCTTTATCTTGCCTTTTTTTTTTTTTTTTGGATGGAGTCTTACTCTGTCACCCAGGCTGGAGTGCAGTGGCGCAGTCTTGGTTCACTGCAACCTCCGCCCCCCTGAGTTCAAGCGATTCTCCTGCCTCAGCCTCCCAAGTAGTTGGGATTACAGGCACCTGACACCACACCTGGCTAATTTTTGTATTTTTTTAGTAGAGACGGGGTTTCACCATCTTGGCCAGGCTGGTCTTCAACTCCTGATCTCATGATCCACCCACCTCTGCCTCCCAAAGTGCTGGGATTACAGGCATGAGCAACTGTGCCTGGCCTATCTTGCTTTATTTTTATATTACTTTTTACTAACCAATCAACATTATATGCTTAATGTCTTTCTTCCCTACTACCAGATTATAGGCTCCGTAGAGTCAGAGACTTATTCTTGCTAACAGTTATATCTTCTACATCTAGAATAGTGCCTGATTCTTAGTAAGTGCTAAGAAAAGTTTTTGTTGAATACATGAATGAGTTTGTACTATTCAGCAAACAGAAAGCTTAATTTTTATATACGTTCACTTTTTGTGGGGTAGTGTGTGTGTGTTTGTTTGTTTTCAGAGTGGGCCTTACTCTGTTGCCCAGGCTGGAGTGCAGTGGCATGATCTCAGATCACTGGAGCCTCGCCTCCTGGGCTCAAGTGATCCTCCCATCTCAGCCTACCAAGGTGCTGGGATTACAGGTGTGAGCCAATGCATCTGGCCTTACAGTCACTTTTTGTATTATTCAATTTATGAAAACATAATTGAGCTTGAAGAATTTCAAAGAGAAGCATCTAAAGTGATTGAGGAAGTGGTAGAATGTTTTCTAAAATTACTAAAAATTATTCAGCTTATAAAAATAATTATTAACTTTGGCCATATATGGATGCACACATGGTCAAAGTTATAAAATTATAAACTGTAATAATTAGGTTAAAATAGGCATGTTTCTCAAACCCTAGTTTTATCGAAGCACTCTTTAAAAGTTTTTCAGAGAAGTAAAGGAATATTATTTTTATACAGTGGATAATAAACATGGAGCTCTTTCTTAAAATTTGTATGTATTTCAAAAGAGTTCAAAGAGCTGTTTTGATAAAAATCACAATTTTAAAGATAATGCAAAATGAGAAATATTTATAACTTCGGAAAGTAACAGCATGGATTTCAGCTATGGTGCTTTATCCTAAAAGGAGTTGCAGGTTTCATTATTGCCTGTTGATATTAATTCCAAAAATGTCAAGTTCCCCAGTTGGGACAATGAACAGTCAGCAACCCTGAGAACGAAGGCATATCCAAATGTGACCACAGGAGTATTGGGTAGGTGTAACTGGAGTCTAACCCCACATGTTTGTGGTAGACAGTCATCTGGAACTCTGACCTAGATTACTTAGAATCTGTGGGAAATCCAGGCTATGCCCATAGGCCTCAGTGCCTCCTAGTCTTATAGTCTTTAAAGAATGCTTTGTTCTATTCAAGTATTTTCCACTGGAATCCCAGCACTTCCTTCAAGAACAAGGTACACATCATGAATATTGACTGCTCTCGAAATACGCTTCGTCCTCTCCTCTCTACACGCCTCCCTTTAGTTCTCATTGTAGCTTCTTTCCCTGAAGAGATTTATTTCTACCTGAAGCTAGAATATGGCTTATATTTTTGACCATTGTGTCTGGCTTTGATTCTGAAGTGTTTGGCAGCATTTGTGTGCAGTGACTGGGAAGCAGTTTGTTCACAATATGATTTTATTGAGGTTTTTTCCTTTGCTTCTGTATTTCCACACTTAAGACTCCCCCCACCCCATATTCAAGGAACAAAGGCTGGCAATGATCCAGCCCTTTTGTATTATTGTCTCTAGTTCATGATTTTAGTAGCATGTTTGCAACTAGAGTACACTTTTATATTTTCTCTTTTCATCTCTGCCTCTATGGATTTTTGGCAAACATCAAGGTGAATAAATCAGACCGACCACTGCAAACCCATCTGCTTTCAGGAACATGTTAGCAGACCAATTTGTGATGTTTTATCATCCAACATAGAACTAAAGGAGGCTCCCTGTGGAGTAAGAATAGAAGGCAAAGTCTGAGGTCAAAGAGTTTTTCAGCTTTGAATTATTTATCTGCCTACTGATTGTGCTAGGGACAGTCTATACTGGCATTTTTAATGGCACTAACAGATTGGTACGGTATAATACTTATAAAGTTGAAATGATTTTGTGGTAGATTTAAAGTGAAAATACAGCTTATACTTTGGATTTGATAATAGGGATTAATAAAAAAAGATGCTGTCACAGTTTTTAAAATGTGGCAAATCAAGGTACACAGTGTTCATTTGACAGGATATTACTTTTACACTTCAGCCGCTGCTAAGGTTACATTTGAAAACAGTCTTCCTCACTAAAATACCTTTCTAGTTGTTGACAGCCCAGAAATTGGTCATAAAAAATAATAGGCTGTGGTCATACAAAGCTGTCTTCCTAATGCTTGTTGACACTTCAATGCTGCATTCATTTCTTTCTCACAATGAGCAAGTAAGTGATGATTCTCTTTGAAAAAGAATTAAGAGAATTGCAAACATGTCAGTGTATATACGTTATACTGGGAGAACAGTTCATGTAATACTCTTGATAACAGGCACTAAATTGAACCTACTTTAAATTGATCAAAAGTTAAGCAAGCTGCTTATATCTCATAGAGTTGATTTTAAGCTGATCTTCAACAAGCTAAATTGTATTCTCTGCTGGACTATGATTTTATCCAGTAGAGATCAATGTCTTTTTTTGAGAATAAGTTTAGTCTTACTACCTAATGGTTTGGAAATTAAAGAGAACCCTTGAAAGGCAGATTTAGTTTCTCTGTGATGATAATGTCAAGGGCATGGGGTATGGGAGATGTAACTCAGTTTTTCAGACTTTATGACAAACTTCTTTCTACTTTGTGATCTGAGTCAGCTTTTGTTTATAGACCAACCTGACAGAGGCAGGAGAAAGGATACTCTCAAGAACTTTGCCTATGAGTTACATTCTTGGTGGTGATGGTCCAGAAAGGAGGCATATACTTGTGATAGTGGTTTTTGTCCTTTCCATACATGACTTCAACTATTTTTTATCTTTAAAAGCTAAATTCTAAAGTAATGATGGAAATGGTGACTGCTCTGGCAAATTTAGATTCTACTGTACCCTGTCCTTCCTATCCTTCTTCTGGACATATTTGTGTACATCTTTCTTTATTGTGTGGGTTACATGCAAAGCTGGGGCCAGAGTGTGTATTAGTTGATAAAAGCAGTACTTTATCTGAATAGTTGTTCACTGTTGCTTTTATGAATGGATTCATAGAAAAAAGGGTAATTTAGGACACATAAAATACATGATTGGAAATTAAACAGAGTGTGTGTGCATTAATCCATCATTGTGTTGTAAATCTCTAAAGGAATTGGTTTCATAATCATAATGTAACAGAAAACAGTTGTTTATTTAGGTATACAGATACAGAAGGATGTCTAAAATGTATATTCACCGAAAATTTTAAACAGTTGAATAATGGTTCTTATGGAAATGGGAAAAATATTTCTTGTCATTAATTAATAATTTTATTTATTTAACAAGTACTCAGTTTATACTAGGCAATATGCTAAGTACTTCACATACATTCTAAATAATGTTATTTTAAGTAACATTATGCATTTGATATTATCATCCCATTTTACACATGAGGAAACTGTAGTTTAGCAAGATTAAATAACTTGTCTGAGATCCTATAGGAATTAAGTGAGGAAAGTGGAAATAGAATCAATGAGTTTATCTGGCTTCAAGGCCATTATAATATCGTATTGGACTCTGAGGTACAAAATGGGAGATACACCTGCTGAGAAGTAAGTTGTGGAGCAATTTATGCGTCTAGATATTAGTGAAGTGGCTGCCCTAAAGGAATGACTTGTTCCCTCTTCTCATTCTGGAGAAAACTGGCAGGACTTAGGGAGCCCGTGCATATATGGGAATCTTCTCAGAAAATGAATTCATATCAGTTTTGGTTGTGCTATAAAATGTTTTCAGCCATATAAAAATAAAATATCATAAGAAAGCCCTTAGCTCCAGATATTTAGATGATGAATTATTGAGCCTCTTTTTGTCCTTCCTCTTTCTTCATTATATTTCTTGTAAAAATTGACCACTACAATCAGAATAAGTCTAAAAAGAAAGGAATTAATATTGAGGAGAAAAATTGTTTTGTTTTCCTTTTGCAGAATGTTAGGTTTTGTAACTTTCTTGACTCAAATATTTGTTGAATGAGTGAGTGAGTGAATTTGGATGATTAGATGTGCATTCCTGAAACATAAACTCTTTCTACTCTCAACTGTTATGGGTAATTGGAAGGTGGGTTGACATTAGCTTTTGCTTCAAAAACACAATTATTTTCTTTTGATTTTCACAAGTTCAGTACACAATTTCATTCCTATTAGGCTGTTTACGAGAATCTGTTCTATCTGTTGACCTTTACTTATATGAGATGGATCAGTGACTAATGTAGCAAAATACCTTATTTAGTCTATAAAGTGAAGTTCTAGAAATTATTCCCTTAGCCAAATGAGAGCACTGTATAAGAAGAAAACTCTAGGAACACATATGTATTAAACATTTAAAAGTAATCCTAGGAAGGGGAATTTTATTTTAATTAATTTTTTTTTTGAGACGGAGTCTCGCTCTGTCGCCCAGTGGCACGATCTCGGCTCACTGCAACCTCCACTTCCCAGGTTCAAGCGATTCTCCTGCCTCAGCCTCCTGAGTAGCTGGGATTACAGGCATGTGCTACCATGCCGGGCTAATTTTTTGTATTTTTTAGTAGAGACTGGGTTTCACCGTGTTGCCAGGCTGGTCTCGAAGTCCTGAGCTCAGGCAATCCGCCCGCCTCAGCCTCCCAAAGTGCTGGGATTACAGGCGTGAGCCATCGCGCCTGGCCAGGAAATTTTATTAAGTAAGGACAAGGTGATTTTATTTTCATTTGATTTTGTCCTTTATTTCTTAAATATGGAAGGTCAAGTGTGCATAGAAAAAAATTACTCAGTATTGAATAGGAGCGGTGAGAGAGGGCATCCCTGTCTTGTGCCAGTTTTCAAAGGGAATGCTTCCAGTTTTTGCCCATTCAGTATGATATTGGCTGTGGGTTTGTCATAGATAGCTCTTATTATTTTGAAATACGTCCCATCAATACCTAATTTATTGAGAGTTTTTAGCATGAAGGGTTGTTGAATTTTGTCAAAGGCTTTTTCGGCATCTATTGAGATAATCGTGGTTTTTGTCTTTGGCTCTGTTTATATGCTGGATTACATTTATTGATTTGCGTATATTGAACCAGCCTTGCATCCCAGGGATGAAGCCCACTTGATCATGGTGGATAAGCTTTTTGATGTGCTGCTGGATTCGGTTTGCCAGTATTTTATTGAGGATTTTTGCATCAATGTTCATCAAGGATATTGGTCTAAAATTCTCTTTTTTGGTTGTGTCTCTGCCTGGCTTTGGTATCAGAATGATGCTGGCCTCATAAAATGAGTTAGGGAGGATTCCCTCTTTTTCTATTGATTGGAATAGTTTCAGAAGGAATGGTACCAGTTCCTCCTTGTACCTCTGGTAGAATTCAGCTGTGAATCCATCTGGTCCTGGACTCTTTTTGGTTGGTAAACTATTGATTATTGCCACAATTTCAGCTCCTGTTATTGGTCTATTCAGAGATTCAACTTCTTCCTGGTTTAGTCTTGGGAGAGTGTATGTGTCGAGGAATGTATCCATTTCTTCTAGATTTTCTAGTTTATTTGTGTAGAGGTGTTTGTAGTATTCTCTGATGGTAGTTTGTATTTCTGTGGGATCGGTGGTGATATCCCCTTTATCATTTTTTATTGCATCTATTTGATTCTTCTCTCTTTTTTTCTTTATTAGTCTTGCTAGTGGTCTATCAATTTTGTTGATCCTTTCAAAAAACCAGCTCCTGGATTCATTGATTTTTTGAAGGGTTTTTTGTGTCTCTATTTCCTTCAGTTGTGCTCTGATTTTAGTTATTTCTTGCCTTCTGCTAGCTTTTGAATGTGTTTGCTCTTGCTTTTCTAGTTCTTTTAATTGTGATGTTAGGGTGTCAATTTTGGATCTTTCCTGCTTTCTCTTGTGGGCATTTAGTGCTATAAATTTCCCTCTACACAGTGCTTTGAATGTGTCCCAGAGATTCTGGTATGTTGTGTCTTTGTTCTCGTTGGTTTCAAAGAACATCTTTATTTCTGCCTTCATTTCGTTATGTACCCAGTAGTCATTCAGGAGCAGGTTGTTCAGTTTCCATGTAGTTGAGCGGCTTTGAGTGAGATTCTTAATCCTGAGTTCTAGTTTGATTGCACTGTGGTCTGAGAGATAGTTTGTTATAATTTCTGTTCTTTTACATTTGCTGAGGAGAGCTTTACTTCCAACTATGTGGTCAATTATGGAATAGGTGTGGTGTGGTGCTGAAAAAAATGTATATTCTGTTGAATTGGGGTGGAGAGTTCTGTAGATGTCTATTAGGTCTGCTTGGTGCAGAGCTGAGTTCAATTCCTGGGTATCCTTGTTGACTTTCTGTCTCATTGATCTGTCTAATGTTGACAGTGGGGTGTTAAAGTCTCCCATTATTAATGTGTGGGAGTCTAAGTCTCTTTGTAGGTCACTCAGGACTTGCTTTATGAATCTGGGTGCTCCTGTATTGGGTGCATATATATTTAGGATAGTTAGCTCCTCTTGTTGAATTGATCCCTTTACCATTATGTAATGGCCTTCTTTGTCTCTTTTGATCTTTGTTGGTTTAAAGTCTGTTTTATCAGAGACTAGGATTGCAACCCCTGCCTTTTTTTGTTTTCCATTTGCTTGGTAGATCTTCCTCCATCCTTTTATTTTGAGCCTATGTATGTCTCTGCACGTGAGATGGGTTTCCTGAATACAGCACACTGATGGGTCCTGACTCTTTATCCAATTTGCCAGTCTGTGTCTTTTAATTGGAGAATTTAGTCCATTTACATTTAAAGTTAATATTGTTATGTGTGAATTTGATCCTGTCATTATGATGTTAGCTGGTGATTTTGCTCGTTAGTTGATGCAGTTTCTTCCTAGTCTCGATGGTCTTTACATTTTGGCATGATTTTGCAGCGGCTGGTACCGGTTGTTCCTTTCCATGTTTAGCGCTTCCTTCAGGAGCTCTTTTAGGGCAGGCCTGGTGGTGACAAAATCTGTCAGCATTTGCTTGTCTGTAAAGTATTTTATTTCTCCTTCACTTATGAAGCTTAGTTTGGCTGGATATGAAATTCTGGGTTGAAAATTCTTTTCTTTAAGAATGTTGAATATTGGCCCCCACTCTCTTCTGGCTTGTAGGGTTTCTGCCGAGAGATCCGCTGTTAGTCTGATGGGCTTCCCTTTGAGGGTAACCCGACCTTTCTCTCTGGCTGCCTTAACATTTTTTCCTTCATTTCAACTTTGGTGAATCTGAGAATTATGTGTCTTGGAGTTGCTCTTCTCGAGGAGTATCTTTGTGGCATTCTCTGTATTTCCTGAATCTGAATGTTGGCCTGCCTTGCTAGATTGGGGAAGTTCTCCTGGATAATATCCTGCAGAGTGTTTTCCAACTTGGTTCCATTCTCTGCATCACTTTGAGGTACACCAATCAGACGTAGATTTGGTCTTTTCACATAGTCGCATATTTCTTGGAGGCTTTGCTCATTTCTTTTTATTCTTTTTTCTCTAAACTTCCCTTCTCGCTTCATTTCATTCATTTCATCTTCCATCACTGATACCCTTTCTTCCAGTTGATCGCATCGGCTCCTGAGGCTTCTGCATTCTTCACGTAGTTCTCGAGCCTTGGTTTTCAGCTCCATCAGCTCCTTTAAGCACTTCTCTGTATTGGTTATTCTAGTTATACATTCTTCTAAATTTTTTTCAAAGTTTTCAACTTCTTTGCCTTTGGTTTGAATGTCCTCCCGTAGCTCAGAGTAATTTGATCGTCTGAAGCCTTCTTCTCTCAGCTCGTCAAAATCATTCTCCATCCGGCTTTGTTCCGTTGCTGGTGAGGAACTGCGTTCCTTTGGAGGAGGAGAGGCGCTCTGCGTTTTAGAGTTTCCAGTTTTTCTGTTCTGTTTTTTCCCCATCTTTGGAAGTTCTGGCCAGGGCAGTCAGGCAGGAGAAGGAAATAAAGGGTATTCAATTAGGAAAAGAGGAAGTCAAATTGTCCCTGTTTGCAGATGATATGATTGTTTATCTAGAAAACCCCATCGTCTCAGCCCAAAATCTCCTTAAGCTGATAAGCAACTTCAGCAAAGTCTCAGGATACAAAATCAATGTACAAAAATCACAAGCATTCTTATACACCAACAACAGACAAACAGAGAGCCAAATCATGAGTGAACTCCCATTCACAATTGCTTCAAAGAGAATAAAATACCTAGGAATCCAACTTACAAGGGATGTGAAGGACCTCTTCAAGGAGAACTACAAACCACTGCTCAAGGAAATAAAAGAGGATACAAACAAATGGAAGAACATTCCATGCTCATGAGTAGGAAGAATCAATATCGTGAAAATGGCCATACTGCCCAAGGTAATTTATAGATTCAGTGCCATCCCCATCAAGCTACCAATGACTTTCTTCACAGAATTGGAAAAAACTACTTTAAAGTTCATATGGAACCAAAAAAGAGCCTGCATCACCAAGTCAATCCTAAGCCAAAAGAACAAAGCTGGAGGCAGCACACTACCTGACTTCAAACTATACTACAAGGCTACAGTAACCAAAACAGCATGGTAGTGGTACCAAAACAGAGATATAGATCAATGGAACAGAACAGAGCCCTCAGAAATAACGCTGCATACCTACAACTATCTGATCTTTGACAAACCTGAGAAAAACAAGCAGTGGGGAAAGGATTCCCTATTTAATAAATGGTGCTGGGAAAACTGGCTAGCCATATGTAGAAAGCTGAAACTGGATCCCTTCCTTACACCTTATACAAAAATCAATTCAAGATGGATTAAAGATTTAAACGTTAGACCTAAAACCATAAAAACCCTAGAAGAAAACCTAGGCATTACCATTCAGGACATAGGCGTGGGCAAGGACTTCATGTCCAAAACACCAAAAGCAATGGCAACAAAAGACAAAATTGACAAATGGGATCTAATTAAACTAAAGAGCTTCTGCACAGCAAAAGAAACTACCATCAGAGTGAACAGGCAACCTACAGAATGGGAGAAAATTTTCGCAACCTACTCATCTGACAAAGGGCTAATATCCAGAATCTACAATGAACTCAAACAAATTTACAAGAAAAAAACAAACAACCCATCAAAAAGTGGGCGAAGGACATGAACAGACACTTCTCAAAAGAAGACATTTATGCAGCCAAAAAACACATGAAAAAATGCTCATCATCACTGGCCATCAGAGAAATGCAAATCAAAACCACTATGAGATATCATCTCACACCAGTTAGAATGGCAATCATTAAAAAGTCAGGAAACAACAGGTGCTGGAGAGGATGTGGAGAAATAGGAACACTTTTACACTGTTGGTGGGACTGTAAACTAGTTCAACCATTGTGGAAGTCAGTGTGGCGATTCCTCAGGGATCTAGAACTAGAAATACCATTTGACCCAGCCATCCCTTACTGGGTATATACCCAAATGACTATAAATCATGCTGCTATAAAGACACATGCACACGTATGTTTATTGCGGCATTATTCACAATAGCAAAGACTTGGAACCAACCCAAATGTCCAACAATGATAGACTGGATTAAGAAAATGTGGCACATATACACCATGGAATACTATGCAGCCATAAAAAATGATGAGTTCATGTCCTTTGTAGGGACATGGATGAAATTGGAAACCATCATTCTCAGTAAACTATTGCAAGAACAAAAAAGCAAACACCGCATATTCTCCCTCATAGGTGGGAATTGAACAATGAGATCACATGGACACAGGAAGGGGAATATCACACTCTGGGGACTGTGGTGGGGTGGGGGGAGGGGGGAGGGATAGCATTGGGAGATATACCTAATGCTAGATGACGAGTTAGTGGGTGCAGCGCACCAGCATGGCACATGTATACATATGTATCTAACCTGCACAATGTGCACATGTACCCTAAAACTTAAAGTATAATAAAAAATAAAATAATAATAAAATAAAAAAATAAAAAAAGAAAAAAAAGAAAAAAATTACTCAGTGTTAGGCAAATTTACTCTCTAGATTTTTTTCTTTTTACCAATTTTTCTTTTCCTGAATCAGACTATTGGAACCATTTAAACACAGCATAATGCTAAATGCATAATCAGTTCCTAGGGAATACAGTCCAACGATTTCTCTCTCTTAATGTCCTGAAAAGTACAAAAAGAGTTATCCTGCGGGCCAATAGGCACATATTTACCCCTGAAATATTTCAGCAATGGCAGTAGTAACATTTTTATTCCTCATCTTTCAGGTAGTTTATAAGTGGAAACTATTAACTTATCGGAAGAGAGCTCTTCTGTTGGAGAAAACCTGGCAGTGAAAACTTTGGTTTGCCTGGTTACCAGATTTTTGTACTCAAGACTCCAGACAAGATAAAAGAAATGTTTCATAATATATCACTTTATATAATACCTTTATACTTACCTTATTCTATACCCCCACCCCACCCTGCAGTTTTCTTTATCATTAGAAACTACATTTACCTTGGCAAATATAAATTTTCTCTGTATCCTTTTACTGAAGTTATGGTGATTTTTTAAGGCTCTATTTTAATTCAGGTTTAGCATTTCATTCCTGTAAGCCATCAGAATTTCCTCTGGATCGATTTGTAATATGTTCAATGTTTGCTAGGAAATTTGGAAGTTTTTGGTTTGCTTCCTCTCTTTCTGTATATAAGATCTAATTACCACCCAGCATGAAATAGCAACTGAAATGAAGGCAGCAAGAAAGGGTAGTGGCTTACCTTAGAGCTAATCAACCACCCCCTTCTTGTATACTTCGCAGCTATCAAGAGAAAGAAAAATGGCATTCATTAAAATAACATATATTAAACTTTTTTTCTTTCTTGATTTGAGACTGAAGAGAAAGTTTCTTCAAATCTTTATGGAAATAAGACATTAAGCAATTCTTTTAATTTGCAATTAGTAGTCTGATGTGAATTGTACAAAATATTTTCACCATCAGTGTTGCTATAAGTAGCCCCATACTATTTTCTTGACATTTAAAAAGATAAACATTTCTAGGAATAAAATAAAATCAAGAGAATGTTTAATCATTTTTATAAGGCTAGAATTTCACTCAATTTGGGGTTTTGGTTTCTAAATTTGTCTTCAACAAATATCTAGGCTTATCTTTAAAGAAGATATCATCCTTCACACCTGTAATCCCAGCACTTTGGGAGGTCGAAGTGGGTGAATCACGAGGTCAGGAGTTTGAGACCAGCCTGTTCCAACACAGTGAAACCCCATCTCTACTAAAAATACACACACACAAAAAAAATAGCTGGGCGTGGTGGCGGGCACCTGTAATCCCAGCTACTTGGGAGGCTGAGGCAGGAGAATCGCTTGAACCCGGGAGGCGGAGGTTGCGGTGAGCCAAGATCGTGCCATTGTACTCCAGCCCGGGCAACAGTGTGAGACTCTACTTCAAAAAAAAAAAAAAAAGAGATCATCTTAATATAGTAGCCTGTAGCTTCCTGTTTTGTGGAATCAGTTTGTTGGGTAATTAACCTGGGAAAGATTGACAGTATTTTTACTTTTTAAATGACCATGGTCTGAGTTTTTATCAGATTGTCAGATTTAAAAATTAGATAATTTGTGGTATTAGACAGATGAGAAATACATACTCTACTATTGTTTGGAGTATGTATTGGAATGACAGTTCTGGAGAGAGAGAGTACATTCATCAAAATTGGAAATGCATGTAACTTTTGCCTTAGCAATTAAACCTCAAGGAATTTATCCTTGAACACGTGCATAAGCCATGTATAAAATATTCCTTATGATATTGTTTGTTATATAAATAGAAAAAAATGCAAAGAAGATGGTCATTAATAGGAGAATGTTCAGTAAATTATGATATATCTATATCCAGATATACCTTATTTTTAAAAAGTAACCACTCCTACAGAGAATAAACTATATGTACATGTCTTGATAAGGAACACTCTATGTTATCCCATTAAGTGAAAGAAACAGTCTAGTTTGCTTCAATGGAGATGTATGTATACAACTTCCCTCCATCCCTGCCCCTTCTCCCCATATAAACATACATACACACACAAATATGTATAGATAGATGGGTGAAAAGATACAAAGGAGCTGTTGGTAGCACTTATCTTGGGTATAGGACTATGGGTCTGGGATAGAAGGGAAGTTTTTATGTTTTTCTGTTGTTTACTTTTCTTGCTGTTTGAGTTTTTTACCATGTGTATATATTATATTTCATAACTGGGAAAAAATTTAATAACCAGGTCTATTTTCTTTCTTTTTTAGGACTCAGCCCAGGAGAGTGTTATTACTCGAGATATTCATCGTACATTTCCCGCACATGATTACTTTAAAGATACTGGAGGAGATGGTCAAGAATCGCTCTATAAGATCTGCAAGGTAGGACTCTCTTCCTCACTTTTTCTAAATTATTTTACAGAGCTATATTTTAGAAACCCATTTAAGGATTTTTTTACTCTGTCTTCATTTCTTATTTGCACTATGCCATGTTTTCTGCTTTGCACACACGCTATGAGATCCTCAGTACTGATCCCAGAAGGTGACTTTTCGGTTGCATGTTTCGTGCCTCCTCATGAGGGAGGAGGCGCAGCATAGCCTCAGTTTGGCTCTCCTGCTAACAGGAAAGGAACAAAAGGTCCTCTGAGGCTATGCTATAAAAGCTCAAAAGAGTCCTAGATGACTCTGTCCTTCTGACAAGATCATGCAGCAATTGTCTCCATTTTTCTGACAACAGGCAAGTGTAAGAATCAGTGTGCTTATTGTTGAATACTGGCAAATTATTGGATGTTGTTGATATATTCTGAGTTACGTCACATCATATATTTTTGTACGGTTTTTATATCCCATTTTGAAATCTTTTTTCTCCCTCATTATAAGTAGGCCTGGAAAAAACCTGTTTCCTGATTTTCAGTAAATGTGCTCTGCTTGGATACAGAAGATTCTGTCTCTGTCAGTATAGAATAGCCATCAAGTTATTAATTTTATCAGAAATGCAGAATGAAGTGTGGTGGGTATACTCACATTGTTGATATCTAACATTCTAAAGAGATGGTTAATGAATAATGAACTGCACAAAAATTTGGTAATAATATGGAGAAAAAGGCAAACATCATGGCTAATTTGTAAGTTAGGTAATCAGTTCCTGAATAATCCAATTTAGCCTTTGTAATGAGTAGCAAATATTAGCCAGTGTGGAATTAAGAAGTATATTCACAAATCTGTTTCATTTTATATTTACTGTTTTTTAAAAACAGCACTTATAAAAGCACTCACTTCTCCAGCATTTAAGAGGATGTGGAGAAATAGGAACACTTTTACACTGTTGGTGGGACTGTAAACTAGTTCAACCATTGTGGAAGTCAGTGTGGCGATTCCTCAGGGATCTAGAACTAGAAATACCATTTGACCCAGCCATCCCATTACTTGGTATATACCCAAATGACTATAAATCATGCTGCTGTAAAGACACATGCACACGTATGTTTATTGCGGCATTATTCACAATAGCAAAGACTTGGAACCAACCCAAATGTCCAACAATGATAGACTGGATTAAGAAAATGTGGCACATATACACCATGGAATACTATGCAGCCATAAAAAATGATGAGTTCATGTCCTTTGTAGGGACATGGATGAAATTGGAAACCATCATTCTCAGTAAACTATCGCAAGAACAAAAAAGCAAACACCGCATATTCTCCCTCATAGGTGGGAATTGAACAATGAGATCACATGGACACAGGAAGGGGAATATCACACTCTGGGGACTGTGGTGGGGTTGGGGGAGGGGGGAGGGATAGCATTGGGAGATATACCTAATGCTAGATGACGAGTTAGTGGGTGCAGCGCACCAGCATGGCACATGTATACATATGTATCTAACCTGCACAATGTGCACATGTACCCTAAAACTTAAAGTGTAATAAAAAAAAAAAAAAGCACTCACCTACATATTCTAACCAAGTAGGATTAATGTTTAATTCTGCAAATGGCACGACTTTCATTAAAGTCCTTGCATGTTGGTGGTTTTGGCCTCTTCACACTCCTGTCTCTTTTTTTCTTACTTTTTCTCTCTCTCATATTTTTTTATCTAACCATTTTGGAGGATTATAAATATATGCTGATTAGAAATCTATTTTTATATGAATGTGTCATTCAGAGCTAGAAATATATAACTTATAATCTGAGAGTATACTGATCTTTAGAAAGTGATATATCATCTACTTTGAAAAGTACCAAAGACCATTGGATGCCACAAAAAAAGGTATATGTTCATTATATGCTTGTGAAAGACAAAAGTAATTATTTAAAACATTTTTCTACTACTTTGAAATTCTGCAAGCTGATTAACACTGGCTTTTGTAAAGAGGTTAGGAAAATTTATATCATTTCCAAGTTTATTTAAGAGGGTCTGGTTTATGGCATATGCAACATTTTTTTCCCCTAGCATATAGTATATTTTCAGCCAGTCAGTGACTTTCCCTTCAGCTTTTCTCTGATTGATACTAGATACTTTCTTCACATAACTAAAACAGATGGTTCTAATGTGCTTGCAGCTTCTGACTTAACATTTTGCTCCATTGTAGTAAAAATAGTATTTGCCTTGTTATGTAATATTTAGAGGGGAAATAATCTGAAACATTACCAAACACAAAAATAAAAGTTGAACGATTGGCACTTTTAAATAGTTGATACACTTTGATTTGGTGTTGCAAATAATAATGCAACCTTGAATTCATTTGAAAATACTCATCAGTACATTCCCAGAGCTCATGTGGCCATTTTAGATTATCAGTATACATTTTACAACATGACTAAACCATTTTAAAACTCTTTCTGAATGAAGAATATTGTAAAATGTATATCTGAGATACTTTATTATCGAAAAGTAGCTTAAATCACACTAAATTTTGTGAAGATGTAGAAAACAAAATTACATTAGACATAGTATTAAATAAAAGCAATAAAAGTTTTTAAGGATTTTAATGCTGTACTGAGCTGTATATACATAAAAATAATTTCACAACAGTCTTTGGTAATGGATATGAGCAGAGATGTATACATCCTACCCTGTAGACCGCTTGGTTTGTGATTGACCCGGTTCCTTCCCATCTTGATTTACTGTTATTTAGTATCTCATGCCAGGAAACCTTAAGTTTGATGATAGCTCACAAATAGGATAGCATATCTATGAGTAATTTAGTATAGCATACTTATGAGTAATTTAGAATGGAATATTATTCTCAAGCTTCCACATCCACTTTTCTTTGCTTTTTGTATCCAATTTGAACCACAGTCTTTTATTTTATGACCCCCATCCCATATTCCCAAAAGCTGCCTGTGTGTAACCTTTAAGGCTTAAAGGTAGTCTAACCATTTAAAGGTAGTCTAAGGCTTAAAGGTAGTCTAACTGTGTAGTCTAACTGTTCTAACATTGTTTCTAGAAACATTGGTTCTAGAATAATAACTAGCATTATACCTCACACTCAGCCGTCCACCTCTGAGTTTCTATTCTGGACACCCCGCGCAGAACTGAATAAACATTAATAACACCTTGATCTTATCTCAGCTGCTTTGCTATATGTAAATAAGGACAGTTTTGCTTTTCCTTTACCAATCCTTATTCTTTTTCTATTTGTCTCTTGTCTTATTGCACTGACCACACCTTTAGTATAGCGTTCAAATAAAGCTATCATAGCAAACATCCTTTTCTTGCTCCTGATTTGAAAGGAAATGCATCTAATGATTAACCACTAAGAAAGCTGCATCTTCTTCACATCAGCAACACAATTGTAGGCCTTTTTTTTTAAAATAGTGTTTTCTATATTAAATATAATATAATATATTATATTTAATTATATTAATTAAATATAATTTTAGATTATATTAATTAAATATAATTAATTAAAATAATTTTACATTTGCAGAGTACTTTGACATATATTACCTCATTTATTTTTGACAATTCCTCATCAATGGAGCCTACACTGGAGATATAATATGCTGTGCTCTTAAATTGAGCAGAAATTAAGAGAATTTCAGTGACAATAAGTTTAGAAATCAACTCTGTTTTCAAGGATACAACAATCTGACTTTGTAGTTGAAAAGTTTTCTGTGGCTCTGGTGAAAGGAGAAATGATTTGAACTGTCACATTAGAGGGAAGACTGTTAAAAACTCATTGTCATGTTTTAATGGCCCTGTCAATTCCAGTTTTGCCTCTTAATATCTTTCTTCAGAGTAGGAGGAAATCGAAATGATTCAAAGCTTCTTCTGTTGTCATTAATTTGTATGGGGGAAGTTGAGCTGAAAGTATTAGTAGAATTCATAGGTTTCTGCAGATGAAGAGGTTTGCAAATTAATAGATTTCTGCAAATGAAAGTTTCTGAAAATTTGGTTCTTCCCTCTTTCTCTCCCTGTCTTTCCTATTGGTTAGGTCAATAACATATTTTAAAAGAATGTCCATGAGACAGGGAAGAATATACTACCACCCCAAATATATTTTGCATTTTTATTATTTAACATGAGATGTAAAAATCTGCTATAAGTTGGGAGACAGGTTGGTATAGTTTAAAGCACTGGGCATCAGGAAATCTGGTTCTGGTTTTGATTCTTTCACTAAGTAGATCTAAGAATGAGGGAAATTTGTAAGGGTGTGGTGTCATAAGATTGTTCCGGTTCCAATGTTCTGTGATTCTCAGTGTTGTTCAAATTTTTTTTCCTGACATATAACACATAAATGCAGAATTTAGCAGTTAAATCCTGCGTCAGTTATTAGCTCTGGCTCTCAATACTAAAGATGTAAAAGGGTCTTCTCCTTAAATCTGAAGATTTTACCTGGCCTTCTGTTACAGTGTTCGGTTTGTTACATCAAATGGAGTGCATTAGTAGTTTAGTTTTAGATATACATCTCTTTATAAGACCTAAGACCAGTTAGTCATAGTAATCAGGTAAAATATTATTCAGAACAATATGATTTAAAGTGATATTTGATGTACAATTTAATTTGTGCATATTGCTTTTTCTCATTTTTTGTTTGGTGTAAATGCTCTCTGAAAAAAGAGGATACTGCTATTAACTTAATGGGAGAGATTGAATATATTATACAGAGATTAATACCTTTGTTTATCTGGATTAATAATTTGATAGCATAATGGTTTATAGGAGGACAAAAATAAACTTAACCCTTATTTTACCAAATATTTTTATCAAAAAGATTGGATTTATTATAAAAACTAGAGCAGTTAAAGTATTGTTTTGATACTAATGATGAGTTATCTGCTGCATAATTTTGGAGAATGCAAATAATCACTGACTCTTAAAATGACATGTAATCATACATTATTTATATTGCTTTCTAGACATAGGGGGTATTTGTGATTATGAGGATGAATTATTTTTCACTTAGTTGATATTATTTTCAATACAATTTTCTAGCCATTTGACTACTTTTAATTCAACTCTTTCTTGATGTGTCTGAATGAGCCCTAGTTGAAATGTCAGCATTTACTGAACAAATTATAGTCCTCTCTCCTCTCCTCTCCCCACCCTCTCCCCTCCTCTCCTCTCCTCTCCTTTCTCTGTCTCTCTCTCTTTTCTTTTTCTCTCTCTCTCTCTCCTCTCCCCCTCTCCCCCTCTCCCCTTCTTCCCCTCTCTCCCTCTCCCCCTCTCCTCTCCTCTTCTCTCCTCTTCTCTTCGGGGTCTTGTTCTGTTGCCCAGGCTGGGGTGCAGTGGTGCAATCTTGGTTCATTGCAACTTCAGCATCCCAGGCTCAAGCAATCCTCCCACCTCACCCTTCCAAGTAGCTGGGATTACAGGCACGCACCACCACTCTGGGCTAATTTTGGTCTTTTTAGTAGAGACAGGGTTTCACTATGTCAATCAGGCTGCTCTTGAATCCCTGAATTCGGACAATTCGCCTGCCTCGGTCTCTCAGAGTGTTGGGATTACAGGCGTGAGCCACTGTGCCCAGCTGCTCAGCCCCATATTCTTTACATAGCACTGACTAAGCGCTCCTCCTACTTCTGTGGAACTCCTTCCACTCATATCTTTGGAATCGGATGGATTCCAGAGTAGGAGCCATTTGTTGTGTGATGATAGGTGTTCCTGGATCAGATGGATCCAAAAGGATTTAGTTTGGAGCAGTGCTTTTGAGGAATCAGGAAGCACTTGGACAATCAAGCAGATTTTTCTATTCTCTGTGTATCTCCTATCTCTCCCTTGATTTCCTAGTAAGCTGCTTTGAATTATGGCAACCTTCTAATGCAGATCCAAATATGGGCTGCCAAGAAATCCTTTGAACCCCTGGGGCCACCTGCTTTGCCAGCACATTCTAATGAGCAGTGAAATAAGTGATTTTAACAGACACTTAGAGACAGCAGCATATTCTCCAAGCAAATTAACTTCCTTACGGAACAGTGAATTCTTTCAGGTCTTATAAGAAAGACTTGGAGAACCATCCTACTGTGGATCAACATAATCATAACAGTAATAGTAAAAATTTGTAAAGCCCTGTGGTTTTGAAAGCATTTTTTGCATGTCGTTATTTGATCCCCACAGTTACTCCATTAGAATAAAGAAGGTACCAAATTTGCATACTGATAAATATTAATCTCTTAGAGTCAGAGTTTGATTTAGTTTTTTTCCTTTTTAAATCTTTTCATATTATTCATTTTAGATGAATTGTCCAATTCTGCTTTATTGCCAAGAACAATTATGTTTATATCTATTTAGAACACTAAATATATGCACACACATATAAATAAATCTTAGCAACCCAAAGTTGAAAAACTTCACTTATATAGGGGTGTGTGTGTGTGTGTGTGTGTGTGTATGTATGTATGTATGTATGTATGTTTGGGGTTAATTTCATACTTACCCTTTACTCACAAGATTTCAAAATCATTTATTGTATTTGTTAGTATCATTATAGTCATACAAAAGGGTTATTTTGGGGGTTTTTTTGGTCCTCTTTAATATACGTATTAGTAGGATAGACTTTATGAGTCACAGCTCAACTGAGAAGATATAATGTGATTTTAAAATATAGATTTTTCTTCTGAGACTGTGAAAGGTCAGGGTTTGTGAAGCTAGAGTCCTGGAAAGAGAATGAGTGATTTATAATACTCTTCAGAGTGCCTAAAGAGATTTTTAAATTTCTTCATGGTCTTAGTCCCTAAGAGCTTTCCTTGAAATAGCTTTTTAGTTTCTGTGAAGCCTGTAGTCTTTCAACTGAAAGCCTGATTGAAGCCATCACACTCTTACTAGGATACAGAAGAGAAAGGGTGGGATTTTGAGGATGATAAAAATGGATAAACTTAGAATAAAGGGATTGGTGTGACGCCTAAGGGTTTGATTATAGTCACTCTTTTTAAAAAACACTACTCTTTCAGGAGGAAAAGGAAAGTAAGATTACTATCTAAAATACAAAAGAAAAAAAAAACTAACCTGCAAAGATGAAACACAGGGAACCTTCAAATAAAATGCTCTTTATGGTGCCTCCTGAATTATGATTTTTTTTCATATTTGAGATCTATTTCTATACTATATTCAAATGGCTTAAATATCCTAGACAAAAACTTGTAGTTGTTCTTGAATGGATTATTTTATGTTACAGAATTATGAGGATTTATCTCCTGGTTACTAATTGTTATGCAGTTGACAATATTTTTATAAGTGAAGCCTCCTCTTCCCGCACCTTTAAAGCCTCTTCTTTAATCAGAACCCTTCGTCCTTTCTCCCTAGAAATAATGTGAATCTGAATTGCCCTACTCCTCCTTCCCATCTGTCCAAATCTTAGTTGTCCATCTCCCTTATAAAGGTAGTCCTACGCACTATACCCACAGTGATTTATAGATTAAAACAAATCTGGAGATCAAATGTATAACATGAGCACTATAGTTAATAAAATTGTATTGTTTTAGGGATTTTTGTTAAATAAGAAGATTTTAGATGCTCTTGTTACACAAACAAAAAAAAGTACGTGAGATGATAGATATGTTACTCTGCTTCACTGTAGTAACCATTTTACTATAAATATATATCACATAACGTTGTGTTGTAAACCACAAATATACACAATAAAATTTATTTTTAAAATATTTTATAAAATTTAGATTATGTATTATATATATCTTTTCAATTATACTTTAAGTTCTGGGATATGTGTGCAGAGCATGCAGGTTTGTTTCATAGGTATAGATGTGCCATGGTTGTTTGTAGCACCCAATCAACGTGTCATCTACATTAGGTATTTCTCCTAATGCTATCCCTCCCCTAGCCCCCCACCCCCCAACAGGCCCCAGTGTGTGATGTTCCCCTCCCTGTGCCCATATGTTCTCATTGTGCAACTCCCACTTATGAATGAGAACATGTGGTGTTTGGTTTGCAGAGAATGATGGTTTCCAGCTTCATCCATGTCCCTGCAAAGGACATGAACTCATTCTTTTTTATGGCTGCATAGTATTCCATGGTGTATATGTGCCACATTTTCTTTATCCAGTCTATCATTGATGGGCATTTGGGTTGGTCCAAGTTTTTGCTATTGTGAATAGTGCTGCAATAAACATATGTATGCATGTGTCTTTATAGTAGAATGATTTATAATCCTTTGGGTACATATCCAGTAATGGGGTGGCTGGGTCAAATGGTATTTCTAGTTCTAGATCCTTGAGGAATCTTCCACAATGGTTGAACTAATTTACACTCTCACCAACAGTGTAAAAGTGTTCCTGTTTCTCCACATCCTCTCCAGCATCTGTTGTTTCCTGACTTTTTAATGATCGCCATTCTAACTGGTGTGAGATGGTATCTCATTGTGGTTTTGATATGCATTTCTCTAGTGACCAATTATAATGAGCTTTTTTTCATATGTTTGTTGGCCACATACATATCTTCCTTTAAGAAGTGTCTGTTCATATCCTTTGCCCACTTTTTGATGGGGTTGTTTGTTTTTTTCTTGTAAATTTGTTTAATTAAGTTCATTGTAGATTCTGGATATTAGCCCTTGGTCAGATGGATAGATTGCAAAAATTTTCTCCCATTCTGTAGGTTACCTGTTCACTGATGATAAGTTTCTTTTGCTGTGCAGAAGCTCTTTCATTTAATTAGATCCCATTCATCAATTTTAGCTTTTGTTGCTATTGCTTTTGGTGTTTTAGTTATGAAGTATTTGCCCATGCCTATGTCCTGAATGGTATTGCCTAGGTTTTCTTCTAGGATTTTTATGGTTTTAGGTCTTATGTTTAAGTCTTTAATCCATCTTGAGTTAATTTTTGTATAAGATTTAAGTAAGGGGTCTAGTTTCAGTTTTCTGCATATGGCTAGCCAGTTTTCCCAACACCATTTATTAAATAGGAATACTTTCCCCATTGCTAGTTTTTGTCAGGTTTGTCAAATATCAGATGTTTGTAGATGTGTGGTGTTATTTCTGAGGCCTCTGTTCTGTTCCATTGGTCTATATATCTGTTTTGATACCAGTACCATGCTGTTTTCGTTACTGTAGCCTTGTATTATAGTTTGAAATCAAGTAGCATGATGCCTCCAGATTTGTTCTATTTGCTTAGGATTGTCTTGGCTATACAGGCTTTCTTGGTTCCACATGAGAAATTTAAAGTAGTTTTTTCTAATTCTGTGAAGAGTGTCAGTGGTAGCTTGATGGGGATAGCATTGAATCTAAAGATTGCTTTGGGCAGTATGACCATTTTTGCAATATTAATTCTTTCTATCCATGAGCATGGAATGTTTTTCCATTTGTTTGTGTCCTCTCTTATTTCCTTGAGCAGTGGTTTGTAGTTCTCCTTGAAAAGGGCCTCCACATCCCTTGTAAATTGTATTCCTAGGTATTTTATTCTCTTTGTAGCAATTGTGAATGGGAGTTTACTCATGATTTGGCTGTTTGTCTATTATTGGTGTATAGGAATGCTTGTGATTTTTGCACATTGATTTTGTATCCTGAGACTTTGCTGAAGGTGCTTAGCAGCTTAAGGAGACTTTGGGCTGAGACAGTGGGGTTTTCTAAATATATAATCATGTCATCTGCAAACAGAGAAAATTTGACTTCCTCTTTTCCTATTTGAATACCCTTTATTTCTTTCTCTTGCCTGATTTCCCTGGCCAGAACTTCCAATATTGTGTTGAATAGGAGTGGTGAGAGAGGGCATCCTTGTCTTGTGCCGGTTTTCAAAGGGAGTGCTTCCAGCTTTTGCCCATTCAGTATGATATTGGCTGTGGGTCTGTCATAAATAGCTCTTATTATTTTGAGATATGCTCCACCAATACCTAGTTTATTGAGAGTTTTTAGCATGAAGGAGTGTTGAATTTTATCGAAGCCCTTTCCGCATCTATTGAGATAATCATGTGGTTTTTGTCATTGGTTCTGTTTATGTGTTGGATTACATTGATTGATTTGCATATGTTGAACAAGCCTTGCATCCCAGGGAAGAAGCCGAGTTGATCTTGGTGGATAAGCTTTTTCATTTGCTACTGGGTTCAGTTTGCCAATATTTTATTGAGGATTTTCGCATTGATGTTCATCGGGGGTATTGGCCTGAAATTTTCTTTTTTTGTTGTGTCTCTGCCAGGTTTTGGGATCAGGATGGTGCTGGCCTCATAAAATGAGTTAGGGAGGAGTCCCTCTTTTTCTATTTTTGAAATAGTTTCAGAAGGAATGGTACTAGCTCCTCTTTGTACCTCTGGTAGAATTCAACTGTGACTCCATCTGGTCCTGGGCTTTATTTGGTTGGTAGGCTATTAATTACTGCCTTAGTTTCAGAACTTGTTATTGGTCTATTCAGGGACTCGACTTCTTCCTGGTTTAGTCTTGGGAGGGTGTATGTATTCAGGAATTCATCCATTTCTTCTAGATTTTCTAGTTTATTTGTGTAAAGGTGTTTATAGTATTCTCTGATAGTTTGTATTTCTGTGGAATCAGTGGTGATATCCCCTTTATCATTTTTTATTGTGTCTATTTGATTCTTCTCTCTTTTCTTTTTTATTAATCTGGGTAATGTTCTATCTATTTTGTAAATCTTTTCAAAAAACCACCTCCTGGATTCATTGAGTTTTTTTTGAAGGGTTTTTCATGTCTATCTCCTTCAGTTCTGCTCTGATATTAGTTATTTCTTGTCTTCTGCTAGTTTTTGAATGTGTTTGCTCTTGCTTCCCTAGTTCTTTTAATTGTGATGTTAGGGTGTCAATTATTGATCTTTCTCATTTTCTGATGTGGGGGTTTAGTGCTATAAATTTTTCTCTAAACACGCTTTAACTGTGTCCCAGAGATTCTGATACATTGTGTCTTTGTTCTCATTGGTTTCAAAGAACTTATTTATTTCCACCTTAATTTTGTTATTTACCCAGTAAACATTCCACATGAAGTTATTCAGTTTCCATGTAGTTGTGCAATTTTGAGTGAGTTTCTTAATCCTGAGTTCTAATTTGATGACAGTGTCGTCTGACAGACTGTTATGATTTCCATTCTTTTGCATTTGCTGAGGAGTGTTTTACTTCCAATTTTGTGGTCAATTTTAGAATAAGTGCGATGTGGTGCTCAGAAAAATGTATATTCTGTTGATTTGGGGTGGAGAATTCTGTAGATATCTATTAGGTCCGCTTGGTCTAGAGCTGAGTTCAAGTCCTGAATATCCTTGTTAATTTTCTGTCTTGTTGATCTGTCTGATATTGACAGTGGGGTGTTAAAGTCTCCCACTATTATTGTATGGGAGTCTAAGTCTCTTTGTAGGTCTCTAAGAACTTGTGTTATGAATCTGGGTGCTCCTATGTTGGGTGCATATATATTTAGGATAGTTAGCTCTTCTTGTTGAATTGATCCCTTTACCATTATGTAATGCCCATCTTTGACTTTTTTGATCTTTGTTGGTTTAAAGTCTGTTTTATCAGAGACTAGGATTGCCACCCCTGCTTTTTTTTGCTTTCCATTTGCTTGGTAAATATTCCCCCATCTCTTTATTTTGAGCCTGTCTGTGTCTTTGCACATGAGATGGGTCTTCTGAATATAGTACACTGATAGGTCTTGACTCTTTATCCAATTTGCCAGTCTGTGTCTTTTAATTCGGGCATTTAGCCTGTTTACATTTAAGGTTAATATTGTTACGTGTGAATTTGATCCTGTCGTTATGATGCTAGCTGGTTCTTTTGCCCATTAGTTAATGCAGCATTTTCATAGTGTTGATGGTCTTTACAATTTGGTATGTTTTTGCAGTGGCTGGTACCAGTTTTTCCTCTCCATATTTAGTGCTTCCTTCAGGAGCTCTTTTAGGGCAGGTCTGGTGGTGACAAAATCCCTCGGCGATGGCTTGTCTGTAAAGGATTTTATTTCTCCTTTGCTTATAAATCTTAGTTTGGCTGGATATGAAATTCTGGTTGAAAATTCTTTTCTTTAAGAATGTTGAATATTGGCCCCCACTCTCTTCTGGCTTGTAGGGTTTCCTCAGAGAGATCCGCTGTTAGTCTGATGTGCTTCCCTTTGTGGGTAACCCGACCTTTCACTCATGATTTGGCTCTCTGTTTGTCTGTTATTGGTGTATAAGAATGCTTGTGATTTTTGCACATTGATTTTGTATCCTGAGACTTTGCTGAAGGTGCTTATTAGCTTAATGAGATTTTGGGCTGAGACAATGGGTTTTTCTAGATATGCAATGATGTCATCTGCAAACGGACAATTTGACTTCCTCTTTTCCTAACTGAATACCCTTTATTTCCTTCTCCTGCCTGATTGCCCTGGCCAGAACTTCCAACACTATGTTGAATAGGAGTGGTGAGAGAGGGCATCCCTGTCTTGTGCCAGTTTTCAAAGGGAATGCTTCCAGTTTTTGCCCATTCAGTATGATATTGGCTGTGGGTGTGTCATAGATAGCTCTTATCATTTTGAGATACGTCCCATCAATACCTAATTTATTGAGAGTTTTTAGCATGAAGTGTTGTTGAATTTTGTCAAAGGCCTTTTCTGCATCTATTGAGATAATCATGTGGTTTTTATCTTTGGTTCTGTTTATATGCTGGATTACATTTATTGATTTACGTATATTGAACCAGCCTTGCATCCCAGGGATGGAGCCCACTTGATCATGGTGGATAAGCTTTTTGATGTGCCACTTGATTCGGTTTGCCAGTATTTTATTCAGGATTTTTGCATCAGTGTTCACCAAGGATATTGGTCTAAAATTCTCTTTTTTGGTTGTGTCTCTGCCCGGCTTTGGTATCAGGATGATGCTGGCCTCATAAAATGAGTTAGGGAGGATTCCGTCTTTTTCTATTGATTGGAATAGTTTCAGAAGGAACGGTACCAGTTCCTCCTTGTACCTCTGGTAGAATTCAGCTGTGAATCCATCTGGTCCTGGACTCTTTTTGATTGGTAAGCTATTGATTATTGCCACAATTTCAGAGCCTGTTATTGGTCTATTCAGAGATTCAACTTCTTCCTGGTTTAGTCTTGGGAGGGTGTACGTGTCGAGGAATTTATCCATTTCTTCTAGATTTTCTAGTTTATTTGTGTAGAGGTATTTGTAGTATTCTCTGATGGTAGTTTGTATTTCTGTGGGATCGGTGGTGATATCCCCTTTATCATTTTTTATTGCGTCTATTTGATTCTTCTCTCTTTTCTTCTTTATTAGTCTTGCTAGCGGTCTATCAATTTTGTTGATCCTTTCAAAAAACCAGCTCCTGGATTCATTAATTTTTTGAAGGGTTTTTTGTGTCTCTATTTCCTTCAGTTGTGCTCTGATTTTAGTTATTTCTTGCCTTCTGCTAGCTTTTGAATGTGTTTGCTCTTGCTTTTCTAGTTCTTTTAATTGTGATGTTAGGGTGTCAATTTTGGATCTTTCCTGCTTTCTCTTGTGGGCATTTAGTGCTATAAATTTCCCTCTACACACTGCTTTGAATGTGTCCCGGAGATTCTGGTATGTTGTGTCTTTGTTCTCGTTGGTTTCAAAGAACATCTTTATTTCTGCCTTCATTTCGTTATGTACCCAGCAGTCATTCAGGAGCAGGTTTTTCAGTTTCCATGTAGTTGAGTGATTTTGAGTGAGTTTCTTAATCCTGAGTTCTAGTTTGATTGCACTGTGGTCTGAGAGACAGTTTGTTATAATTTCTGTTCTTTTACATTTGCTGAGGAGAGCTTTACTTCCAACTATGTGGTCAATTTTGGAATAGGTGTGGTGTGGTGCTGAAAAGAATGTATATTCTGTTGATTTGGGGTGAAGAGTTCTGTTGATGTCTATTAGGTCTGCTTGGTGCAGAGCTCAGTTCAATTCCCAGGTATCCTTGTTAACTTTCTGTCTCGTTGATCTGTCTAATGTTGACAGTGGGGTGTTAAAGTCTCCCATTATTATTGTGTGGGAGTCTAAGTCTCTTGGTAGGTCACTCAGGACTTGCTTTATGAATCTGGGTGCTCCTGTATTGGGTGCATATATATTTAGGATAGTTAGCTCTTCCTGTTGAATTGATCCCTTTACCATTATGTAATGGCCTTCTTTGTCTCTTTTGATCTTTGTTGGTTTAAAGTCTGTTTTATCAGAGACTAGGATTGCAACCCCTGCCTTTTTTTGTTTTCCATTTGCTTGGTAGATCTTCCTCCATCCTTCTGTTTTGAGCCTATGTGTGTCTCTGCAGGTGAGATGCGTTTCTTGAATACAGCACACTGATAGGTCTTGACTCTTTATCCAATTTGCAAGTCTGTGTCTTTTAATTGGAGCATTTATTCCATTTACATTTAAAGTTAATATTGTTATGTGTGAATTTGATCCTGTCATTATGATGTTAGGTGGTTATTTTGCTCGTTAGTTGATGCAGTTTTTTCCTAGACTCGATGGTCTTTACAATTTGGCATGGTTTTGCAGTGGCTGGTACCGGTTGTTCCTTTCCATGTTTAGCGCTTCCTTCAGGAGCTCTTTTAAGGCAGGCCTGGTGGTGACAAAATCTCTCAGCATTTGTTTGTCTGTAAAGTATTTTATTTCTCCTTCACGTATGAAGCTTAGTTTGGCTGGATATGAAATTCTGGGTTAAAAATTCTTTTCTTTAAGAATGTTGAATATCGGCCCCCACTCTCTTCTAGCTTGTAGACTTTCTGCCGAGAGATCCACTGTTAGTCTGTTGGGCTTCCCTTTGTGGGTATCCCTACCTTTCTCTCTGGCTGCCCTTAACATTTTTTCCTTCATTTCCACTGTGGTCATTCTGACAATTATGTGTCTTGGAGCTCCATCCAGTTTTGTTCCCTTGCTGGCAAGGAGTTGTGATCCTTTGGAGGAGAAGAGGTGTTCTGGTTTTTGGAATTTTCAGCCTTTTTCCGCTGGTTTTTCCTCATCTTCATGGATTTATCTATCTGTGGTCTTTGATGTTGGTAACCTTTGGATGGCGTTTTTGCGTGGATGTCCTTTTTGTTGATGTTGATGCTGTTCCTTTCTGTTTGTTAGTTTTCCTCTAACAGGCCCCTCTGCTACAGGTCTGCTGGAGTTTGCTGGAGGTCCATTCCAGACCTTGTTTGCCTGCGTATCACCAGCATAGGCTTCAGAACAGCAAGATTGCTTCCTGTTCCTTCCTCTGGAGGCTTTGTCCTAGAGAGGCACTCGCCAGATGCCAGCCGGAGCTCTCCTATATGAGATGTCTGTCGACCCCTGCTGGGAGGTGTCCCCAGTCAGGAGGCACAGGGGTCTGGAACCCACTTGAGGTGGCAGTCTGTCCCTTAGCAGAACTCAAGCACAGTGATGAGAGATCTGCTGCTCTCTTTACAGCCGGCAGGCAGGAGTGTTTAAGTCTGCTGAAGGTGTGCCCACAGCCTCCCCTTCCCCCAGGTGCTCTGTCCCAGGGAGATGGGAGTTTTATCTCTAAGGTCCTGACTGGGGCTGCTGCCTTTCTTTCAGAGAAGCCCTGCCTAGAGAGGAGGAATCTAGAGAGGCTGTCTGGCTACAGTATCTTTTCTGAGCTGGGGTGGGCTCTGCCCAGTTCGAACTTCCCAGAGGCTTTGTTTACACTGTGAGGGGAAAACCGCCTACTCCAGCCTCAGTAATGGTGGACGCCCCTCCCCCAACCAAGCTGGAGTAACCCAGGGCAACTTCAGACTGCTATGCTGGCAGTGAGAATTTCAAGACAGCAGATCTTAGCTTGCTGGGCTCCATGGGGGTGGGATCTGCTGAGCTAGACCACTTGGCTCCCTGGCTTCAGCCCCCTTTCCAGGGGAGTGTATGGTTCTGGCATTCCAGGTGCCACTGGGGTATTAAAAAAAACTCCTGCAGCTAGCTTGGTGTCTGCTCAAATGGCCACCCAGTTTTGTGCTTGAAACCCAGGGCCTTGGTGGTGTAGGCATCCGAGGGAATGTCCTGGTCTGTGGGTTGCAAAGACCATGGGAAAAGTGTCATATCTGGGCCAGATTGCATTGTTCCTCATGGCTTCCCTTGGCTAGGGGAGGGAGTTCCCTGACCCCTTCACTTCCCTTGTGAGGTGACACCCCACCCTGCTTCAGGTTGCCCCCGTACCCACTGTCTAACCAGTCTCAATGAGATGAGCTGGTACCTGTGTTGGAAACGCAGAAATCACCCGCCTTCTGCGTTGATCTAGCTGGGAGCTGCAGACTGGAGCTGTTTCTATTTGTTCATCTTGCCAGCCCTATGTATCATATTTTGAACAATATCTGATTACTTTCATTTAAATGTTTTCTGCATTGTGTTCAGTGTTTGAGGGAAGAAGCTATCTCATATTTTCTTTGTCCTAGAGAGCCAAGTGTAGTACTAGTAACATTGTGTCAATATAATTAGCTCTGTGAATTTGACTTGATGAAAATGAGTATGTTAGTTCAGATCCTCTGAGAAGCCTGTCACCAAGACAGGATTAAGTGTGTAAGAAATGTATTATGGGAAATGGTTGTAAGAGAAAATAGGGAAGGAGCTGGGAGAGTCTCGGAGAGCCATTGGATCACAACCCAAGTCTGACTCCAAGGGAAGAAGAAAGGAAAGTTAGGTGCAAATATTGTAGATGTAGTTTGTTTCTAAGGAACATTTGAAAAGACCAATGGTGAGTCGTCAGCCAAAGTTACTAATTAGGTCCCATTTCCTCAGAAGCTGGCCCACCTTAATATTCCTGCTGTGCTCAGTCACAGCTCCTGGGAACCTCATGGGAACTATGGCCTTGGTACAAACGCAGGAATGATTTTACAGCATAGCAGTCAGTTGGGCCCTCGTTCAATTACAGCCTCTTCTGTTGGAGACCTAATGTGTATTTTTATGGCCAGAATACAGATATTTTAGATGAAAATTTAATGCATATAAACCCTAAAAGAGCATTCTATTTCTATCACTTACTTCTTCTGTGAAGTACTTTTATTCATAAAAACTTTTCAGGCTACATTCCTTAGGGCAAGGCTATAGCTTTTCTTCATTTTGTATAGTTCATGAGTGGTGTCCTGTATTAGACCCTATTTAAAAATCAAAAGTCCAAGAATGTAAACTAAACACTCTGAGTAATTTACCATATTCAGTTAGTAGTTTACTTGTAATGAGGACATTACAATTTTTTTAAAAAAAATATGGTGTTCTAGTTGTTTTACATTTCTGTGTCTTTAAAAAAAGTATGTGAATTCACTTTTAAATTGTTGCCAAAGGGCTTTTTTTCTTTGCAATGTTACATAAAAGGAAACTTACATATAGGAATTTTGCCAGCTATGTTAGATAAGAAAATTGCTTTGTGAGTGTATATTTGTGAGTACATCTAGTTTTCTACATTTATTGTCTCCAGTGTTTATTTCACATCACTGAATCTATTTTTAGAGCTTATGTTGATACTCTCCTTTTTCCCCAGCATATAGGACAAATGTAATAACCTTTTTTAAACTCATTTTTTATGATTAGATTCAACAGAGAAAATGATACTGTTAAATTTATATATACATATATTTCCAGATTTCTGTGTATTTTTAACAACCTCAAACTCATAAAAGCTACAAGTTCAGAATTTTGTTTTCCTAAACTGTTTGAGAGTGATTTGCTAACATAATGCCTCATCACCCCTTTAGGATGTTTTTCTTATAAACAAGGGTATTCTTCTACATAATCATAATGCAACATCCAAATCAGTACTACCTAATCTATAGACATCATTCAGTTTTTACTAATCATCCAAATGTTCTTGATAGATTAGAAAAAGGATCCAGTTCAGAATCTCTTATTTCATTAAGTTGTCATGTCTGTAATTCCCTTCAACCTGGAACCATTTCTTACTCTTTCATTCACTTTCTTGACCTTGATGCTTTCGAAGATTACAGGCCATTTTTTTGAATATCCCTCAATTTGGGCATGTCTAATGTTTTGTCATGGTTAGATTCAGGTTATACATCTTTGGCAGGAACAACACGGAAAGAATAATCTGTTCTTATTTCTTCCACTCAGGTAATATGTATGCAGTTTCATTTTTTCCCATTATTGGTGATGATTAGTGTGATCACATTAATAAGGTGTGTCTACCAGGCTACTCCACGATGAAATTACTCTTTTCCCCATTGTAATTAATAGGTATTTTGTGTAGAGATACTTCATAACTATTTAATTGCCCCATTTCTCATCAGACTTTCAATTTATTAGTTTATTTATATGTTATATCAATATGGACTCATGAATTCTCATTTTATTCAATGGATTGTATTTCCTTGCTATCATTATTTGTTTTGGTGTTCAAATTGTCCCCATATTGTCCAGTGGGAAGACTTCAAGCTGGTTTCTGTGTCCTTTTAATATATTCCATCATCCTTTGAGCCTTGCCTTTCTTTATGGTTCAGAAAGATGTTCCAGGCTTATGTCTCTGTCCCAGCTCTAGAATTAGATCTTTCTCCAAAGAGCCTTGTTTCCTTTAGTCAAAATATTAAGAAACCAAGATCTGCTTGGTAAATATGTTTATTGTTATAGAGTTGTCATTGCTTACAAGTCATCTCATTGTATAGAACTAAGGAATCTATATGTATATACATATATGCATGTGTGTGTGCATACAAACATGTATTTATGCCCATTTTTTTTTATTAATACATAATTCACATAACATTCACCCCTTTAAAGTGTACAATTCAGGCTGGGCATAGTGGCTTACGCCTGTAATCCCAGCACTTTGGGAGGCCACGGCGGGTGGATGACCTGAGGTCAGGAGTTCGAGACCAGCCTGTTCCAACATGGTGAAACTCCGTCTCTACTAAAAATACAAAAATTATCCAGGCATAGTGGTGGGTGCCTGTAATCCCAGCTATTTGGAAGGCTGAGGCAGGAGAATCACTTAAACCTGGGAGGCAGAGGTTGCAGAGAGCCGAGATCATGCCACTGCCCTCCAGCCTGGGCAACAGAGTGAGACTCCTTCTCAATAAATAGAATAGAATAGAATAAATGTACAATTCATTGAGTTTTAGAATTTACAGAGTTGTGCAACCATTACTACTGTTTAATTTCAGAACATTTCCATCAGTCCAAAAAGAAACCTTATACCCATTAGAAATCAATCACCCTTTATTACCCCTGCCCTCAGCCCTTGGCAATCATTAACCTATATTCTGTTTTTATGGATTTGTCTGGTGATATTATTGTTTGTTGTGGCAGTTGTTTGATTGGTTACTGACTTTTGTGAACTAATTCTGTAGAGTTTGTATTCTTTGTCATGTCTGTCCACTGAAATCTCTGCTTGGTGGTCAGCTAATGATTGAATAGACATGTCCTTAAATTTCTGGAACCAGTAAGTCTACCAGTCTTTGCCAAGGAGTTCTGTGTGTGTTTGAACATGCGTTTGTATTACTCAACCATTCATTTGAAAACTCTGTCTTGCTTTCACCTCCTGCTTGTATAGAACTTCAAAGTCAGCCAAAGGCAAGAGTGTAGAGCCTTCTCAGGACTTTCCTAATGCACAAAGCCTTGAGCATGTACATAGCCCTGCACATGAGCATTGCTCTCTAAGTTCTCAGAAATATATCTGAGTCTTTCAAAGCCTTTATGGATGTCTCATTCCCCAGCATTTCCTTTTAAGCTTTTTGATTAGTGTATTTGCCACAATTTTTTATTGTGTATAGTTAGGGTTACATAGTGGTATTTTGATACATACAATGTAAAATACTCAGATCAAGGTAATTAGCATTTCCATCTGAAATATTTATCATTTCTTTGTGTTGAGAATATTCAATATCTTCCTTCCAGCTATTTGAAACTATTATTGTTAGCTATAGTCATCCTACAGTGCTATAGAACACTAGAACTTATTTCTCCCATTTAGCTGTAATTTTGTACACTTTAACAAATCTTTCTCTCCACCCCCTTCTCTCTACCCTTCCAAGCTTCTAGTATCCTCTATTCTACTTCTTTCTTCTATGAGATCAACTTTTTTAGCTTCTGCATATGAATGAGAACATGCAGTATTTAACTTTCTGTTCCTGGCTTATTTTATTTAACATAATGTCCTCCTTTTTCATGTTGCCATAAATGACAGGATTTCATTCTTTTTTGTGGCTTAAAGTATTCCATTTGGTATATATACCACATTTTCTTTATCCATTCATCTGTTGTTGGACACTTGGGTTGATTTCTTATCTTGGCTATTGTAAATGCTGCAGTGAATAAAGGAGTGCAGATATCCCTTCAACATCTTGATTTCCTTTTCTTTGGATAAATTCCCAGTAGTGGGATTGCTGGATCATATGGTAGTTCTATTTGTAGTTTTTTTAGGAAACTCCATACTGCTTGTGTAGTCGTTTGCCCCAATTTGTATCTACCTTCTCAGACAGCCACAAAATTAAACAGTTGCCTGTAACTGCTTTTGACAAATGCCCCCAGGAAAAAGGCTTTTCATATTGGGTGAGTCTTGCAAGTGGAGTGTTCCAGGGAACCACCATTCAGGTCAAATAATGATAATTCTCTGGGAATAAGGCTTTGCATTTCACTGTCTCTGATGTCTGCCAGACTGCTTGTCATTGCAAATGCAAGCTGTTAGTTTTCAAGGTTATCATGGAGCTGGAGGGTGGGAGATGGGACCAAAGCAAGTTAAAAACGCCACAAAGCTCCCTGTTCTTACCAAGATTCAGTTATTTTTCTGGAATAATTACCCTCCAGGCAGCTGCAGGTATTTGGTCAATTTCTAGAGTTCTGAAAAAGTTGATTCTGATTATTTTTGTGATATTTCCTGCTATTGTGGAGGAGCTAATTTTTGGTGATTCTTGCTCTGCCTTTTTGCTGATGTCACTGCCCATATTTTTTTCTATATATAACCATTTGTGTTGAAAACTAGGGATTCATAGCAGTATTTCCAATTCCAATCCAACAGCAGAAGATTAATCTAGTGTTCTCCCTTCCTATATTTGTAACTAACTTCTCTGACAGGGAGAAATGTAGCTCCCATTATCCTTAATATATTTATCTTTTTGAGCAGTATCTCTCTATATATCCAATCTCTCATTACTGCTGCCAGTTCTCTTGTGTGCAAATACCCTCCTTACCATAGTAAGCTCTAACACCCTGTGCCAGGATGTCACCCTAGGTGAACTCCTCCTTATCTTGTCATACATTGATTCTCCATTCTTGGCCACCCACATCCCCACCTGGGTGGGCTTGTCATTTTTTTTAGGGTCTGACACTCCACACCAGGCCACCCCTGTGTGAATGTTCTATCTTGCTCTGCCTAATGGTTTCAGGAAGGGAACAGGAAGCTTAATTACTTTTTAAAGATGAATTTTATTACCCTTTCCGTTCTTCATGAGTTTTACTTATGAGAGTTTGCAAAGATATGTTAGACCTAAATCAGTATCTCTGGCTTCAAGAATGGAAGGAAGGTACACAAAACTGGTAAACAAATTGATTTTTGTTTTAGGCACCTGTAAAGAAAAACTGATTATTTTCAAGAAGGAAGTGAATCTAAGAATCCATAAGAATTTTAGCAATGAGTAAGACCCTATCCAGGCAGCTCCATATTCATTCCTGACGATAAATCAAATGGGTTATTTGAAAGAAAGACATAGTAATTTTCCTTGACATCAGCCAGTCATTACTGCCATTTAGTCAGCACATCCCTGTGTGCTAGGCATTGTGTTTAATCCTTAAGTTTGTATGGTGGTTTCTATTTTTACCTGTGTGTTACCGATGAAGATACCTGCTTTACTTTACCAAAAAAAAAAAAAAAAAATCCTCAAAAGATTGATCTATAGTTGCTGTTACTGATTCCTCTCTTCTTACTTTTTATTAAACCCTTTTCATTTAGGATTTCACCTATACCACTTTTCTGAAAATGGTGTGGTCAGAACACAAATGTATTCCATATCATAACTCTAATTATTAAATCTCAGTCTTCTTCCTCCAGACCTGTCAGCACCATCGTGCACTGTTGATCACTCCCTTGTTCTTCAAGCACTTTCTTCACTTGGCTTCTACTACTTTTTTTCTTGCAGTCACTTTTGCTCATGCTTTCTCTTTTTCTCAACTTCTTCATTTCAGTCTTTGGACATCTGTTTTCTATCTACATTTATTGCATTGGTAGCCTCATTCAGTCTCATGGCTTTAAATACCATGCATTCATTGATAATTTCCAAATTTATATATCTGACCCCAACCAATTCCTTGTACTTCAAACTTATATATTCAATTGCCTATTTGATTTCTCCTCTAGAGCTCTAACAGATATCTCAAATACAGCCTATGTAAAACAGAATGTTTGATCTTTCTCACAAAAGCTGCTCACCCGTAGTTTTTTTTTCCCATCTCAGCTAACAGTAACTCCATTCTTTCAATTCTTCAGTCTACAAACATTGAATCATCCTTGCTGCTAGTTTCTTCCTCTTACACTACATGTTGAGTAGGTAATACCTGTTGTCTACCACCAGAACAGCAATCCCAGGATATTAACCCACAACACGGTTTGCAGGTATTAGGGTTGCCAAGAAAAACATGACTCACAGAGGCACTGGATGGAACAACACTGTACTCACATACAGAAGAGACAGAACAACAGTATCAGTAATAAGTGTCAGTGGATCTTGTCTCACAGCCATGGCAGGGAATGATCTGTATACACCCCTTTTGTGCTGCAAGTGAAGGACCTTGTTCGCTCTCCACCAGGGACAGAAATAGCAGTGGGGTAAGCCAGGCGCCATATGACACACACTTAAGCAGAACAAAGAAGTATAAATCAAACTCAGAAGAGGGAAAGAAATTCCTAAACAAGGTAATAATAAGCCCAGCACAGACTGTGAGGGCTCCTGTTCTTCATGTAAGAAACTATTCCAGGCCCAAGGCATATTCTTTTGCAACCATGGAATGGTCAACAGGTTGCACACGATTCCCTTGCCCAGCACCACACAACCAGTTTTTTAGGAAATCTTACTGACTCCACCTTCAAAACATAGCCAGAATCTTATTATTTCTTGCCACTTCACTGTAACTACCCTGGTCTAAACTAACATATCTCCTACCTGGTCACCTTGCTTCCAGTGGGTTTCTTTTTCATTTAGTATTAAAGCCTACATTCTTACGGTGATTTACCAGGCTGTAAACTCCACATATGACTATTCTCTCTATCATGCATTCTGTCCCAGCCACACTGCCAGCCTTGCTCACACTTCAGAGCCCTTGCCCTGGCTGTTCTCTCTGCCTGGAACACTTATCCAAGAAATCTACATGGCTTGTTTTTTAACCTCTCTGAATCCCTTGCTCAAGTGTTACTTTCTTAATATGGCCTGCCTTAACCACTCTTTTAAATTGGAACCTCTTCTTAGCTCAGCATTCCTCAGCCCTTTTCTCTGCTTTGTCACCGTTGCACTTATTGCCTTCAAAGATACTATATACATTATTTATTTATTATGGCCATTGTCTATCATCTTCCACTAGAAAATAAGCTATATGAGAGCAATTTTTTGTCCATTTTATTCATTGCTTACCCTAGTCTTCCACATGATAGATAATAAATATGTGTTGCCTCAGGGAAAGAAATGAAAGTTTAGGGAAGTTAAGTGATTCTAGTAAATGGCAGAGCTGGAATTTGAGATGTTTGGCATTCAGAACTACTATTAGAAAACTTTTAAGTAAATTTTTTAACAAACAGTGATTTTAAAGTACTATCAACTAGTTACTGTTCTGGGCTGTATATTAAGGGGCCAATTTTGTGATCTAGGCTAATCTAAGAACCTCATAACCATATTGATTTTATAGGAAAATACATGCTGAGTTTGAAAGAAAAACTAGTAAAGAACTTTTAGAAAATGATCTGTTCATCACTGTGGACTACTTGTACTGAATACTAAAGGAGTAAGAAAACATGTAGTTGATAATGATTCTAAACGCTTGAGGAAAAAAGAACATGAGGAATATTGGGTACTGAAAAATTTTAATAAAAATATTTATTTAGAGTCAATTTTTTAAATGTAAAATTGTAGTCTGGGAATATACCTACATTAATATTTTACTGACTTAATTTTTCCAATGCTTGTGGGCCTTCCTAAAACTAATAATTCATTATTATAATCAATAGCAATTTCAGTTTTATTAATTAAAAATATTTTGTTATGATTTTTATAGGCTAATGCAGCAATAAACTCTTTTGGTTTAGTTTTGGATATGGCTGTGTGTGTGTGTCTAGTAAGATATACCATTATGCATCCTGTAACGACATTTCAGTCAACAATGGACTGCATTTACAATGGTGGTCCCATAAGATTATAATGGAGCTGAAAAACTCCTATCACCCAGTGACATCATAGCATCATAACATTATAGCGCAACACATTACTCACCTATTTGTGTTGATGCTGGTATAAAACCTACTGTGCTGCCAGGTGTATAAAGGTATATAGCATATACAATTATGTACAGTAAATAACACTTGATAAGGATAGTAAACAACTATATTACTAGTTTATGTGTTTACTATACTGTGCTTTTTAATTATTATTTTAGGATGTATTTCTTCTACTTATAAAATAACCATAAAACAGCCTGAGGTAGGTCGTTCAGGAGGTATCCAGAAGAAGGCTTTTCTTTTCTTTTTTTTTTTTTTTTTTTGAGTTGGAGTCTGGCTCTGTCGCCCAGGCTGTAGTGCAATGTCGCAGTCTCTGCTCACTGCAACCTCCGCCTCCTGGGTTCATGCAATTTTCCTGCCTCAACCTCCCAAGTAGCTGGGATTACAGATGTGTACCACCACGCCCAACTAATTTTTGTATTTGTAGTAGAGACGGGGTTTCACCATGTTAGTCAGGCTGATCTTGAACTCCTGACCTCAAGTGATCCATCCGCCTTGGCCTCCCAAAATGCTGGGATTACAGGCGTGAGCCACCGCGCCTGGCCTGGTTGTTTGTTTGTTTGTTTGTTTGTTTTTGAAACAGAGTCGCACTCTGTCGCCCAGGCTGGAGTGCAGTGGCGCAATCTCGGCTCACTGCAAAACTCCACCTCCCAGGCTCAAGTGATTATCTTGCCTCAGCCTCCCACCACCACACCTGGCTAATTTTTGTATTTTTAGTAGAGATGGGGTTTCACCATGTTGGCCAGGCTGGTCTCGAACTCCTGACCTCAAATGATCTGCCTGCCTTGGCCTCCCAAAGTGCTGGGATTACAGGCATTAGCCACTGTGCCCGGCCAAGAAGGCATTTTTACCACTGGAGATAACATCTCCATGCATATTTTTGTCCCTGAAGACCTTCAGTGGGACAAGATGTGAAGGTGGAAGATGGTGATATTGATGATTCCGACCCTGTATAGGCCTAGCCTAATGTGGGTGTTTGTGTCTTCATTTTAAATAAAACAGCTTAAAAAGTAAAAACAAATAAATGAAAAAATTTTAAGTAGAAAAATGTTATAGAACAAGGATATAAAGAAAGAAAATATTAAAATATTTCTGTATAGCTGTACAATGTAGTTTTAAGCAAAGTATTATTACAAAAGTTAACAGGTTTTAAAAATTAAAAATAAAGTTACAGTAAGCTAAGATTTTGTCATTGAAGAAAAATATTTTAAAATAAATTTATTGTAGCCTAAGCGTACAGTATTTATAAAGGCTGCATTAGTGTACAGTAATGTTCCAGACCTTCACATTCACCCACCTCTCACTCACTGACTCACCCAGAGCAACTTCCAGTCCTGCCAGCTGCATTCTCAGTAAGTGCCCTATACAGGTGTGCCATTTTTAATCTTTCATACCACATTTTTACTGTACCGTTTCTATGTTTAGACACTCAAATAATTATCATACTGTTGTATAAAACTATAGCACATACATGGTTTCTTGTAGCAGCCCAGTAAAGAATTGCCTACTATTCAGTCCATAAGACTAAATAGTATATACTGTAACATGCTGTACAAGTTTGTAGCTGAGAAGCAACGAGCTATACCATATAGCCTACATGTGTAATAAGCTGTATCACCTGAGTTTATGTAAGTACTCTCTATGATGTTTGCACAACAACAAAATTGCCTAATGACATGTTTCTTAGAACGTATTCCTGTCGTTAAGGAAGGGGAATGCCTGTGCATATATGTATATATACTCACATACACACACGTGGTTGATCCTCATTATTTACAGATTCTGTATTTGCAAATTCACCTACTTGCTTAAATTTATTTGTAACCACAAAATCAATATTCTCAATACTTTTATGGTTATTCACTGATATGTGAATATGCAGTGTCAAAAAATTTGAGTCACCTGATGCACACATTTCAAGTTCAGGTGGAACAAGTTGATGCTCTGCCTTCTTATTTCATCTCTCATACTGTAAACAAGTATTCTCCTGCTATATACTTATTGTCATGTGTTTTGCATTTTTGTGCTTCTTGATGATTTTTCTGTTTGAAATGTTCCCTAGGTGCAGTGCTGAAATGCTGTCTAGTGTTTCTAGGGACTCAGAGGCTGTGATGTGCCTTGCAAAAAAAATACACATTACGTAAGCTTCATTGAGGCATGAATTACAGTAATGTTGGCCATGAGTTCAATATTAATGAAACAACAATATATATTAAATAAGGTATCTTTAAACAGAAATACACTTAAAACAACTTTGTGTATTGATTAGTTGCTGAAAATGTTGTGACCAGGGGTTCTCAGGAGCCTAGCCGTCTATTATCCCCTAGGTGTAGTAATTCAGTGTTTGCTTATTCAGTGTTGGGGCACCTTTATAGAACATAAGTATTAAGAATGATGACAATTGACTATATATATTTGTACACAGTTTGCACAATTTGTGTACTTTGTACAATTATCCCCAAGAAGAATAGTTGTCATTTGTTAACTACTTCACTATTTGAATCTTACATTAACCTCCAATGAAGCCTTGAGATGTGTCTTCAATATATTTATATTCTGGAGAAATCACCCAAATTGAAATCTTAACACAAACCATTGAATGGATGATTACTAGTGAGTAATTTTCAAAATATTTTAACTAATTTTTTAAATTGTGTAATATACATTCAAATGAATAAAAATAATGTATTATTTGAAAAAGTAACAGAAGTAACATCCTTGAACCTACAACTTAGGAAATATTACCAATATTTTTTAATACCTTCCAGGTGCTCCTCTTAGATCTAGTCTTTCCCTACCAGAGTAAAACACTCTAGTGAATTTTGTGATTATGGTTCTTTCTCTCTCTCTCTCTTTCTTTCTTTCTTTCTGCTTTCTTTTTTTTTTTTTTTTTTTTTGACAGAGTTTTCACTCTTGTTGCCCAGGCTGGAGTGCAATGGTGTGATCTTGGCTCACCGCAACCTCTGCCTCCCGGGTTCAAGCGTTTCTCCTGCCTCAGCCTCCCAAGTAGCTGGGATTACAGGCATGTGCCACCACACCTGGCTAATTTTGTATTTTTAGTAGAGACAGGGTTTCTCCATGTTGGTCAGGCTGGTCTCAACCTCCCGACCTCAGGTGATCCGTTCGCCTCAGCTTCCCAAAGTGCTGGGATTACAGGCATGAGCCACTGCCCAGCCGACGATGGTTATTTCTCTACATTCTTTAAAGTCATTTTTCTGATTGGTTTATGAATAGTCATGAAATGCAGATTAAAAAGAAGAATTGGCATTTTATAGTTAGGTTTTATAGTCACTCACCTGAATGTCATGAGATCCAGAGACCAAATAGTGACAGTGGCTAAGTGCCTGGGCTCTGGAGCTGGACTGCCAGAGTTTGAATTCTAGCTCTGCTGCATTCTAACTGGAACAAATTATTTAACCTACCTTGAATAAATTATTTAATTTTTTAGTGCCTTAGTCTGCCTGCCTGCCTGCCTGCCTTCCTTCCTTCCTTCTTTTCCTTTCCTTCTTCCTTTTCTTTTCCTTTCCTTTCTTTCTTTCTTTTCTTTTCCTTTCTTGTCTGCCTCGCCTCGCCCCGCCCCGCCCCGCCCCGCCTCGCCTTGCCTCTTTCCTTTCCTTTCTTTCCTCTTGCTCTGTTGCCCATGCTGGAGTGCAGTGGCATGATCTCAGCTCACCGTAACCTCTGCCTCCTGGATTCAAGCAATTCTCCTGCCTTAGCCTCCCAAGTAGCTGGGATTATAGGCGTGCACCACTGTGCCCAGCTAATTTTGTATTTTTAGTAGAGACGGAGTTTTACCATGTTGGCCATGTTTGGCCAGGCTGGTCTTGAACTCCTGACCTCAGGTGATCCGCCTGCCTTGGCCTCCCAAAGTGCTGGGATTACTGGCGTGAGCCACTGTGCCCAGCCTTAGCTTCTTTATCTATAAAATTGAGGATAATAAGAGTACTTACTCCCAGAGGGGTGTTACAATTATTAAATAAATTAATATATGTAAATAAATGGAACAGTAGAGTAGTAGTAACTAATAAATAAATGTTAGTTATTTAACAGGTAGAGAAATTAATGCAAAGAATTCTTTGAAAGCCACTTGTATTCTTGCGTACTATATTAAGTAATCTTTCTTTAAATGTTTCTGTAATTTCTTTTAAACAACTAGTATCATGATTTTTGTCACTCTGTGACCTCTTTTTATTCAGCTAATTGTGGGACTACTGAAAATTAGGCTTTCCTTGGTATCTCTTTGTGTCTCCCAGCTTATGTGAGAACAGATCTCTTCTTAGTTTGCAAATAAATTTATTCCACATATTTTTTACTTGGTTGTTCCCCTGACATACTCATTTAAGGGCTACTGCTGCCAAAAATGATAATCCAAAGGCTAATTTATGTGTTTTAGCCTCATGTTGGTAGAAGTTCTTTGTAGGTTATAGATGAAACAGTTTGTCTAATAAATGGCAAATTGCTATTACGTAAATATCAAGCTCCTGTTTAAGTAAAAAGGAGGTCTGTGTTAGTGTTGTCTCTTCTCAGCGTTGCTATTCAATCTGTACTGAAAAAATCGTGACAGTTCAATATTTACATTAGAAATTGGAGAAACATGTGTCAGAGTTAAAACTGATGAACTTTGCCACTGTTTATCAATAGCAAGTAAACTGGCAAATATGTCAGTATGTTAGCAGTACCAAGAAGCTAAATGGGAATATTTTAGAAGTTTGACCCATTGTTGCACTCTCACATGGCAGCCTCTTTATCTTGTTAGAGAACATCCTTTGATTTCCCTTTTCATTCTTTCTGTGAGTCTGAGCTTTCCTTTTTACCTATAAATGTGCTTATCTTATCAAATAGTACTGCATGTTGCCCATTCCTGGGACAAAAGAGAAATACCATCCTGTATTTCTTATAGCAACCCAGGTAAGGTTTGTGTGTGAGGGAGCATTTTGGAGAAAAGAGAATTGTAAATAAATGGGTATAATCTAGTTGGAAAACTAAAAACTTTCTTTAATAATTTTAAGGTAGGTCAAGAGCAGTAGTAGTCATTGTGTATTTCAGGTTAACCAAGAAACTCCTACTGCCCTGTGAAAATTTATTTTCAATGTTAGCATTCCTATCAATGGATAACAGTTACAAGGCAAAAAAAAAAAAAAAAAGTCAAGTATTTTCCATATTTATTTTATTAAGGAGAACTTACATTATGTATAAATGTTAGCACCAGAAATATTAAGCCTATCAACTCTCTGTGTTTCCTAAGTTTTATCCTGTGGTCAGCATGATAATTAATATGTTACATAATGAAATTAAAAGTCCTCCTTTCTAAGCCCAGAAGACAGAAAATGAAAAGGATTAAGCCTCCCTTGATCAGATTGTTATTTTTCCTTTTGAGGATAGGATATCCTCCATCTCTATTGAAACCCAAGGCAAATCAGAACATAGGTACCCCCATCTCCATGGACACAAACACAAATATCTAAGAAGCATAATTCAACAGAGAGAGAATCTAAGTGATATAATGAAGGTAATAAGGGTATGGGCTTTATGTTGGAACAGACTTGGGTTCAAATGGTGATTCTACCATTTATTAGCTATATGACCTTGCCCAAGTTAGGTACCTTCCCTAAACCTATTTGCATCTCATAGGACTTGTGAGATTAAATGAGAACATAGAAAAGAACTTAGCATTCCATCTGGCACATAATAAATATGTCAAGTTCTTTCATGCCTTTGTACATGCCCTTTTTTCTGCAGCATGCCTGAATAATTTCTATAGTCTTCCTTCAAAAACAGGTGGTCAAGTTTGCAGCACTTCTGGTCATGCCATCTTCTATGAAATTAAGACAACATCACCTTGTCTGTGATGCCTTCCTTGCCTTTAACTCTATTTCCTGTGCTATGACCTGGTTATTTACTCTTTCTCTCTGAGCTTCCATGTATCTTCTATATATCTCTCACTGTGCACTATTTCATTGTACATGTTGACCTCCTCCACAGGGCTAAATGCTGGGGAGCATGGACTATGTCTTTTCAACTTTGTATATGCCTTACTAAGCACAGTGTTTGATATACGATAGGTGCTCAGTAAATACTCAATTGCTGAGTGAAGGTATATTACTCTTGGGAGCACAGGCAGAAAAGTAGTCTGTAGTCCAGAGCAGGAGGAGGGACTGGGTACAACCAAAGATTTTTTTCCCCAAAACTGTTATTATGAAAATTTTCAAATATACAAAATAATTGAAAGAATTACAAGGTAAACATCCAAAAACCTGCCACCTAGATTCTAGAATTAGCATTTTGTGAGAATATACTATATTGCCATTAATTGTAGGCATCATGCTGTACAGTAGACCTGTTAGCTTATTCCACCTATCTAACTATAATTATGTATCCTTTGACCAACATCTCAGCACTCCCTTCCTCCTGACCACCACAGCCTCTGGTGACCACCATTCTACTTTCTAATTCAATGAGGTCAACTTTTTTTTAGGGTCTGCATATGAGTAAGATCATGTGGTATTTGTTTTTCTATGCCTGGCATACTTCCCTTAATGTAATATCTTTTAGTTTCATCCATGTTGTTGAAAATGACAGGATTGTCTTTTTTATGGCTGAGTAGTATTCCATTGTATATATATACACCACATTTTCTTTATCCATTGATCTGCTGTTAGACTCTTAGGTTGATTCTGTATCTTGGCTATTGGGAATAGTGTTATAATAAACATGGGAGTGCAGCTCTCTCTTTAGTATATTGATTTAATTTCTTTTGTATATATACCCAGTAGTGGGATTGTTGGATCATATGGTAGTTCGAATTTTAATTTTTTGAGGAACATTCATACTGTTTTGAATATGGTTTTACTAATTTACGTTCCCACCAACAACGTGCAAGGGTTTCTTTTTCTCCACATTCTTGCCAACAGTTGTTATCTTTTGTCTTTTGATAATAGCTATTCTAACAGGAGTTAGGTGATATCTCATTGTGGTTTTGATTTGCATTTCCAGGACAATTAGTGACACATTTTTTCATATTCCTGTTGGCCATTTGTACGTCTTCTTTTAAGGCATGTCTATTCACATCTTTTGCTCATTTTAAATTGGGTTGTTTGTTTTCTTGCTATTGATTTGAGTTCCTCATATAATTTTCATTGTTAACCCCTCATCAGATGTTTTATTAGTTCGTTTTCACACTGCTATAAAGAACTGCCTGAGACTGGGTAATTTATAAAGGAAAGAGGTTTAATTGACTCACAGTTCAGCATGGTGGGGAGGTGTCAGGAAATTTACAGTCATGGTGGAAGGCAAAGGGGAAGCAAGGCACCTTCTTCACAGGGCGGCAAGAAGGAGAATGAATGCAGGAGGAACTACCAAACACTTATAAAACTATCAGTTCTCATGAGAACTCACTCACTATCATGAGAAAAGCATGGGGGAAACCGCTTCCCTGATTCAGTTACCTTCACCTGGTCTCTCCCTTGGCACGTGGGGATTTTGGGGATTGCAATTCAAGATGAGATTTTAGGTGGGGACACAGCCAAATCATATTAGATGTATAGTTTGCAAATAATTTATCCCATTTTGTAGGTTGTCTCTTCACTCTGTTGGTTGTTTTCTTTGCTATGCAGAAGCTTTTTAGTTTGATGCAATCACATTTGTCTATTTTTACTTTTGTTGTCTGTGCCTTTGAAGTCATATCCAAAAAATCATTGCCCAGACCAATGTCCTTGAGCGTTTTCTCTTTATTTTCTTCTGGTAGTTTCATAGTTTCAAGTCTTAACATCTTTAATCCATTTAGAGTTTATTTTTGCAAATGGTGAGAGATAAGGGTCTAGCTTTATTATTCTGCATGTGGATATGCAGTCTTCTCAGAACCATGTATTGAAGAGACTGTTCTTTCCACATTGTATGTTCTTAGTACCTTTGTTGAAAATCAGTTGGCTGTAAATGTGTGAATTTATTTCCAGGCCCTCTATTCTGTTTCTTGGGTCTAGCTTTCTGTTTTTATGCCAATCCCATGCTGTTTGGGTTACTATAGCTTTGTAGTGTATTTTGAAGCCAAGTCATGTGATGCTTCCAGCTTTGTTCTTTTTGCTGAAGATTGTTTTGGCTATTCAAGGTCTTTTGTGGTTCAATATAAATCTTAAAGATTTATTTTTCTATTTTTGTAAATAATGTCATTGGTATTTTTATGGGGATTCCATTGAATACATGGGTCACTTTGGACTATATGGGCATTTTAACAATATTAATTTTTTCAGTCCATGAACATGGGATATCTTTCCATTTATTTGTGTCTTCAATTTATTTCATCAATATATTACAGTTTTTAATATACAGATCTTTCACTTCCTTGGTTAAATTTATTCCTAAATGTTTTTATAGCTACTTTATTTTTTATTTTTTATTTTTAAATTTTGTGGGTACATAGTGGGTGTATATATTTATGGGATACATGAGATGTTTTGATGTGGGCATGCAATATGAAATAATCACATCATGGAGAATGGGGTATTCATGCTCAGAAGCATTTATACTTTGTGTTGTAAACAATCCAATTACACCCTTTTAGTTATTTTAAAATGTACAGTTAAGTTATTATTAACTATAGTCACCCTGTTATGCTATCAAATAGTAGGTCTTACTCATTCTTTCTTCTTTTTTTCCGATTAATCATCCCCACCTTTTCTCTGCATTCTCCCAACAACTACCCTTTTCAGCCTCTGGTAACCATCCTTCTATTCTGTATGTCCATGAATTCAGTTGTTTTGATTTTTAGATATCACAAATAAGTGAGAAAATGTGATGTTTGTCTTTCTGTGCCTGGCTTATTTCACTTAACATAATGATCTCCAGTTCCATCCATGTTGTTGCAATTGATAGGATATTTTTTAAGGCTGAATAGTACTCCATTGTTTATGTGTACCACATATTCTTTTTCCATTCATCTGTTGATGGACTCTGTGTTGCTTCCAAGTCTTGGCTAATATGAACAGTGCTATAACAAACATGGTAGTGCAGATATCTCTTCAATATACTCATTTCCTTTCTTTTGGTTATACCTAGCAATGGGATTGCTGGATCATATGGTAGTTCCATTTTTAGTGTTTTGAGGAGCCTCCAAACAGTTCTCCATAGTGGTTGTACTAATTTACGTTCCCACCAACAGTGTATAAAGGTACCCTTTTCTCCACATTCTTGCCAGCATTTGTTATTGCCTGTCTTTCAGATATAAACCTGTAGATGTTTTAAATGGAATTGTTTTCATGATTCTTTTTTCAAATAGTTCACCGTTAGTGCATAGAAATGCTACTAACACACTTTTATAAGTTGATTTTGTATTCTGCAACTTTACTAAATTCATTTATTAGTTCTAAGATTTTTGGTACAGTCTTTAGGGTTTTCCATATATAAAATGATGTCAACTGCAGACAGGGACAATTCGGTTTCTTCCTTTCCAATTTGGATGCCTTTTATTTCTTTCTTTTGCCAAATTTCTCTGGCTAAGACTTCCAGTACTGTGTTGAATAGAAGTGAGAATGGACATCCATATCTTGTTCCAGTTCAGCTTTTCCTCATTCAGCATGATGTTAGCTATGGGTTTGTCATATATGGCCATTACTGTTTTGAGGTACATTTCTTTTACATCTAATTTGAGAGTTTTAAATCATGAAGTGATGTGGAATTTTGTCAAATGATTTTAATGCATTTATTGAAATGACTTTGACTTTTATCATTTCTTCTTCTAATGTGATGTATCACATTTATTGATTTACATATAGTGAATCATCCTTGCATCCCTGGGATTAATTACTTGATTGTGGTTGATGATCTTTTCGATGTGGTGTTCTATTTGGCTTATTAGTATTTTGTTGAGGATATTTGCATGTATGTTCATCATAGATGTTGGCCTGTAGTTTTCTTTTTTTGTTGTACCTTTGTCTGGTTTTGGTATCAGAGTAATGCTGGTCTAGCAGAATGAGTTTGGAAGTAATTCTTCCTCTTCAATTATTTGGAAGAGTTTGAGAAGAATTGGTGTTAGTGTTTTAAATATTTGGTAGAATTCAGCTATATTTTTAAATATTTGGTAGTTTTTTAACTATCTGGCTTTTTGTTGATAGGAGACTTTTTATTACTGATTCAGTCGTCTCCTTACTCATCTACATGAAGAAATAGATGAGTAAGGAGACTGAATCAGTAATATTTCATCCTTGATCAGTTGCATATGTACACAGATTTATCCATTCTAAGTTATCTAATTCGTTGGCATATAATTGTTCATAATAATTTCTTATGATCCTTTAATTTCTGTAGTATCAGTTGTAATGTCTCCTTTTTTATCTCTGATTTTGAGTCTTCTCTCACTTTTTCTTAGTCTAGGTGTTTATTTTATGTTTTCAAATGAACAACTCATTTCATTGATTTTTTTTTTCCTTTCTTTTTTTTTTTTTTTTTGATATGGAGTCTCCCTTTGTCACCCAGGCTGGAGTGCAGTGGCTCAATCTCTGCTCACTGCAACCTCTGCCTCCCGGGTTCAAGCGATTCTCCTGCCTCAGCCTCCTGAGTAGCTGGGATTACAGGTTTTTGTTTGTTTTGTTTTGTTTTTACTTTCCATTCCATTTATTTTTGGTCTGATCTTTATTTTCTTTCTTCTGCTAATTTTGGGCTGAGTTTGTCTTTGTTTTTCTAATTCTTTGAGATCCAAGATTAGGTTTTTTATTTGCAACCTGTCTTCTTTGTAGGCATTTATTGCTGTAATTTTCCCTCTCAAACTGCTTTTGCTGCATCCCATAGGTTTTGGTATGTTGTATTTTCATTTTCATTTTTCTCAAAAAAATTTTAAATTTTATTTATAATTTTTTCATTGACTTATTGATTGTTCAGGAGCATGCTGTTTAATTTCCATGTACATGTGAATTTTTAAACGTTCCTCCTGTTACTGATTTCTAGTTTTATACTACGGTTGGAGATTTACAGTTTTAAGGAATCCTGCACTTAGACATCTTTCATGGGAAAGGGGAAGCCTTGAGAATATACTTATCATTCATGTAACATGCTTTGTCATGAACAAATCTCAGAGTTCCTAGTTCATGGAAAAGGAACATACAGGCTACTGTATTCAGGAATATTCCAAATAGGGATAGGATTCGAACTTTTCCATAATTTCTTTCCTTTTTTCTTTCTGTATTCTCTCTTTATCCTACTTCCAACCCCTAATACATACACACATAAGAGTGTATGAGGGTTCCCTTTCCTCCACATCCATGAGCTCACATACACCCATAGCTCTAGATAAAAGTACAAATTAAGCAATCAAATATAACTATATAAATTAAATAAAATTAAATAAGTAAAAGGATACTAATTGATCTTTCAAGATTAGGCAGAGGTCTGGAAACTGATGATAATGAAGAAAAGGTCATTTCACATTCATTAGATAACGATTCCCATGATCTAATTTTTCTCTCATTTGAACAGAGAGTGATAATATCATTAGCAGAAAAAGTTAAAGGAGAACAATGGACCATAATATGATTTTTTTTTAGACTGAGTGATTGCCTTTCTATTTACTAAAAGATCTGAAAGAGTTTACAAAATTAAAACACATGTAAAAATAGATAAACGCAGTGACCAAGATGCTATCAGGTACCTGAGATGAGCTATTTTCTACAGTTGAGTAACGAATTTGATTATTAATTTCTGCTAATGAAAGCAAAAAGAAAATGCTAAATTACATATTTCTCTTCTTAATGCATTCTTTTTAAAAAATAAGGTCACAATTTTTTTTATTTTTCAGGCATAGAATTGGAAAAACATAACCAGAGATACATGGTTATACTAGGTATGGGAATTTGGAGTAATATTGTAGACAGTGACTTCATTGTGCTTTTATAAAAGATGCATATGTGGTACCTAAATCAAAATTCTTATATGGACTGGGGTTCTAGAGTTGAGCATGCTGAAGTCTGAAAGGCTGAATATGTAATGTCAAATGCTAACTCAATAAAGATAGTTCTGTGGAATATGGTACTTTGCTACCTCATTATTTAGCTTCACACAGAGATAATATTTAAAGAATGTAGAAGTATTTGTCATCAATAAATCCCATAGTATGTCTTCCTCAAGGAAAATGAGCAAAGGATGACTTTTACTGCATATAAATTATACCTCCATAAACATGATTTGTAATAAAATAAATTGTTTTTGAGTGTTCAGAGTTTTTTTTTTTCTTTTTTTTTTCTTTTTTTAAAATTATTATTATACTTTAAGTTTTAGGGTACATGTGCACAATGTACAGGTTAGTTACATATGTATACATGTGCCATGCTGGTGTGCTGCACCCATTAACTCGTCATTTAGCATTAGGTGTATCTCCTAATGCTATCCTTCCCCCCTCCCCCCACCCCACAACAGTCCCCAGAGTGTGATGTTCCCCTTCCTGTGTCCATGTGTTCTCATTGTTCAATTCCCATCTATGAGTGGAACATGTGGTGTTTGGTTTTTTGTCCTTGCGATAGTTTACTGAGAATGATGATTTCCAATTTCATCCATGTCCCTACAAAGGGCATGAACTCATCATTTTTTATGGCTGCATAGTATTCCATGGTGTATATGTGCCACATTTTCTTAATCCAGTCTATCATTATTGGACATTTGGGTTGGTTCCAAGTCTTTGCTATTGTGAATAGTGCCGCAATAAACATACGTGTGCACGTGTCTTTATAGCAGCATGATTTATAGTCATTTGGGTATATACCCAGTAATGGGATGGCTGGGTCAAATGGTATTTCTAGTTCTAGATCCCTGAGGAATCGCCACACTGACTTCCACAATGGTTGAACTAGTTTACAGTCCCACCAACAGTGTAAAAGTGTTCCTATTTCTCCACATCCTCTCCAGCACCTGTTGTTTCCTAACTTTTTAATGATCGCCATTCTAACTGGTTTGAGATGGTATCTCATTGTGGTTTTGATTTGCATTTCTCTGATGGCCAGTGATGATGAGCATGTTTTCATGTGTCTGTTGGCTGCATAAATGTCTTCTTTTGAGAAGTGTCTGTTCATGTCCTTCACCCACTTTTTGATGGGGTTGTTTGTTTTTTACTTGTAAATTTGTTTGAGTTCATTGTAGATTCTGGATATTAGCCCTTTGTCAGATGAGTAGGTTGCAAAAATTTTCTCCCATTTTGTAGGTTGCCTGTTCACTCTGATGGTAGTTTCTTTTGCTGTGCAGAAGCTCTTTAGTTTAATTAGATCCCATTTGTCAATTTTGGCTTTTGTTGCCATTGCTTTTGGTGTTTTAGACATGAAGTCTTTGCCCATGCCTATGACCTGAATGGTAATGCCTAGGTTTTCTTCTAGGGTTTTTATGGTTTTAGGTCTAACATTTAAGTCTTTAATCCATCTTGAATTAATTTTTGTATAAGGTGTAAGGAAGGGATCCAGTTTCAGCTTTCTGCATATGGCTAGCCAGTTTTCCCAGCACCATTTATTAAATAGGGAATCCTTTCCCCATTGCTTGTTTTTCTCAGATTTGTCAAAGATCAGATAGTTGTAGATATGTGGCGTTATTTCTGAGGGCTCTGTTCTGTTCCATTGATCTATATCTCTGTTTTGGTACCAGTACCATGCTGTTTTGGTTACTGTAGCCTTGTAGTATAGTTTGAAGTCAGGTAGCGTGATGCCTCCAGCTTTGTTCTTTTGGCTTAGGATTGACTTGGCGATGCGGGCTCTTTTTTGGTTCCATATGAACTTTAAAGTAGTTTTTTCCAATTCTGTGAAGAAAGTCATTGGTAGCTTGATGGGGATGGCATTGAATCTATAAATTACCTTGGGTTTTTAATAGCTGAAAGACTGCATTGCCATTACCTGGTTCTTAGATGTCATGGAATCTATGTGATTCAGGCCACGTGCTGAATTATAACCCAAACATAGTGGTACTTAAAAGCCCCTGTAGCTCTCATGCTTCTCCTAATAGAAGCTTTTGGCTGAAACAAGAAACGTTTTTGAAAGAAGCATATTGTCATTATCCTTTTGTGAAATTTTAATAGCCAGATTTGTATTCTTATTCATATGTAACAAAAACCTTGCTAGCACAGTGGTGATAACAGAGGTACCTGCAAGTAAAACTGAGGGTTTTTTTTTTGAAGTAAAAGAAAGAAAAAGCAGCTTTGAAGCAGGTACTTACACAAATACTACCTTGATTTACCACATATCTGTAATGGATGGCCTGGGAGTAGTGACTGCAGCCTGAAAAGTAATTTAGGGCATGGGGTATTAACTGATGACCTTATCCATAAAATATTTTAGTTATCCTGTGGAAGTTCTGATTTTAGTTGACAAAACAGAAGCTTCTATAGACCTGTATATTGTTGAGACTACATATATTATTCTAAGAAGGCTTTTGAATAGATTTGCTGAGTGTAGTTGATGAAGATGGCCCTTTTAAATATTAGGGAATTCATACTAGATTTACTGTTTCAGTTTTTTCATTACAGATTTTGAGAGGCTTCTCCTGGTAGTAAAATGTCAGATGAAACTGTTACTGTAGAATTCACTAGGTTACTGATTCAGTTTGTGAGTATTAGAAAATGTTCTTCCATAGAGATTTTAAATAGTTTTTGTGACAAAGCAAAAACAAAGCAAACTGAAGTTTTCCCTGGATTGAAGCAGCCGATCAAATATTTTAACGTTTGGAGTTTCAACTTCTAAGTGAAAAGATTCCTGATTTTAAAATATAAAAGGATTATTTGAGAAGCACGTACTTTGTGTATGAATGAAGAAATGTATCTATTTTCCAATGAAAGTTTATATTTTGGTGACTGCTTCTACTGAAGTGATAGCATGGTCAGTAGTATTCCAACATCTTTGGATACTGTTAGCTTCAGCCATCATATGGTTTGATTAATTGAACTGGTGTAATAGATTAATAGATATGGTGGTATCTATACTAATCTGATTTTCTTTTTTATGTTACATAAAATAGAATTTTTCCTTCCTTCCTTCCTCTTTCCTCTCATAATTTGAACAGATACTGGATTCAAAAAATTTATGATAGCTTAAACCCCAGGGATATCATTTTCTAAAGGAGTCATCTGTAGATGGTTTATGTTAAAGTTGGACAAATGGATAGAACATCAAGATTTTAATATTTGTTTCCACATTTGTCCCACTTACGGCATAAGTATCAGGGAAGTGGCCAGATGGGGTGGCTCATGCGTGTAATCCAAGCACTCTGGATGGCTGAGGCAGAAGGAACACTTGAATTCAGGAATTTGAGACCAGTCTAGGCAACATAGTGAGACCCCATCTCTACCAAAAAAAAAAAAATTATCCGTGCATGGTGGCATGTGCCTGTAGCCCCAGCTATTTGGGAGGCTAAGGTGGGAGAATCTTTTGAGCCTGGGAGGTGGAGGCTTCAGTGAGCCGACAGAGGGAGACCTGTCTCAAAACAAACAAACAAGAATCAGGGAAGATACATATTCATTTGCTTTTAGAACTTATAATAAACCATTGATAACAACTCAAGGATTAATTAGGCCTAACATTTGAGTGTATGTATAGCATAACACCTCTGTTACAAATTACTGGAGGCATTTGTGAATTATCTAGTTAATTTCATCTGAAGAAAGAGACCTAAAAAGGAAGCTGGGGTAGACCTGCTTTTGCCATGTACCCCACTTCATTTCTTATGGCTAAGGTTGTTCCACAGTGGTCCTAGTTTCGAACCTTTGCCTTGGTAGCATAACCCCAAATTTTTCTGAGGCTATAGCCTTGGAGTTGGAATTGCCTAGATCTTCACAGAAACTATTGTGCTGAACTCTATTGGGTTGACAGAGAGCTGGGTATATACCACCCCACTCACCTATCATATTTGGGGATGATGACAGTTGGCAAGGATTGGCACCATTATCAGTATCTTTAAAAGGTATCAAGAAATTACTGGCAAGTTTATAGCTTTAAATGCCTATATTAGAAAAGAAGATAGATCTAAGTTTCTATCTTAACAAGCTAGAAAATGAAGAGCAAATTAAAACCTAGATAAATAGATGGAAATAAATAATAAAGAACAGAAATAAATGAAATAGAAAATGTATTTAAAAAAGAAAAAGATAAAACCAAAAGCCAGATCTTTGAAAAGATTAATAAAATTAATAAATCCTTACCAAGACTAATCAAGGAAAAGAGAAAATATAAGTTTAAACTTTTATGTATGAAAGAGGATAAATCATATACAGATATTAAAAAGTCAATTAGGGACTATTATGAACGAATTTATGTCAGTAACCTTAACAATTTACATACAAAAGAGCATTTTTTGAAAAACACAAATTATTTAAATTGAAACAAAAAGAAAATGAAAATACGGATAGCTCTATTTCCACTAAAGAAATTTAATTCATAATAAAAACCTTTCCAAGGAGAATACTCTAGGCCCAGATGGTTAAAGAAGAATTAATACCAGTCTTACGCAAAACTCTTTCAGAAGCAGAGTGACAGAGAACACTGACACACTTGTTTTATAAGGCCAGCATAACCCTATACCAAAATGTGTCAGGCATTACCAAAGAAGTTACAGACCAGTATTCCTCATAAAATATTCTCAAAAAACCCCCACAAAACAAAACAAAAAAAAAAGAGTAACAAACTTAATACGGTAATATAAAGGATAATAACTCTTGACCCATATATACAAGGTTGGTCCAGCATTTGAAAATCGATATATTTTAACCACATTAACCGAATAAAGAGAAAGTAATATGATCATTATGTTACTGGTGGGTATTTGTTCTTAGAGTTCCCAAGATGGTGGCGGGCTGCTTCCAAGATGGTGGCAAGCCTCTTGTTCTCTGACCTGGGGTTCTTGGCCTCACGGCTTCCAAGAAATGGAATTTTGGGCCATGTGGTGATTGTTATAGCTCTATTCAGCTCCATTAGAATGAACCCCAGGCACTTAGCCTGCACAGGAACAATGGCGAGCCTCTAGCCCAATTGGGAGCGGCAGTGGGCGCCACCTCACTGGATCAGGAGCACAGCAGACACCTGCCCTATCCGGAGGGATGGAAGTCAGCAGTGGGTGTGCGACAGTGGCAAACAGCAGTGGTGGATGGCAAGCGAAAGCTCAGCTTGAGCCCTAACAAACACAGACCAGAAGAGTGTGCAGTTGCAAGATTTAAGAGAGTGAAAACAGAGCTCCCATGAAGTGGGAGGGGACCCAAAGGGGCTTTCCATTGCCTGCTCAAATGCCTGGGTTTATATCCCGATCATTGTCCCTCCTCCTGTTCTCTCAGGCGATAGATGATTGGCTATTTCTTTACCTCCTGTTTTTGCCTAATTAGCATTTTAGTGAGCTCTCTTTACTACCTGATTGGTCGGGTGTGCGGGTGTGAGCTAAGCTGCAAGCCCCGTGTTTAAAGGTGGATGCAGTCACCTTCCCAGCTAGGCTTAGGGATTCTTAGTCAGCCTAGGAAATCCAGCTAGCACTGTCTCTCAATTGCAATAGACGCATGAAAGGCATTTTATAAATTCAGTACCCATAGAAGATAAAACATGCTCAGCAACGTAAGAATAGAGAGAAACTTCTAAACCTAATGAAGGATATCTATGGAAAATCTGTAGCTAACATTATACTTCATGGTGAAAGACAATGTTTGACTTCTAAGATCTGGAAGAAGACAAAGATGTCCTTCCTCTTTGAGCACTTATATTCACCATTGTATTGGAATACAGTGTAATATAGTACTGGAGTCAGTGCAGTAGGGCAAGAAAAGAAGGCATATGGCCAAAGGAAGTAAAACTAACATTCACAAACAACATGGTTATGCATGTAGAAAATCCTAAGAAATAATAAATGGAGAGAGATATATCAGGTTCATGACTGTTAGACTCTATATTGTGAAGATACCATTCTCCAAATTTACTTATAGATTCAACACAATCCCAGTCAAAATCACGGTAGGCATTTCTGGGAAGACAGTAAATTAATTCCTAAATTTATATGGAAATGCAAGGAATCTAGAATAAACTCTTTTGCAAAAGATCTAAGTTGTAGAACATAGACTTACCAGGTTTTTAAAACTTCTTATTTCAAAGTGGATTACAGACCTAAATGTAAATGCCAAAACAAAAAAACTTCTAAAGAAAACATGGGAAAAAATATTCATGACACAAAAACAGGGCATGTACAAACACAAATATGAACCATAAAAGACAAAAACTATTAAACTGAACTTTTTCAAAATTGAAACTTGCTCTTTGAAAAACAGCATTAAGAAAATGAAAATGCAAGCCATAGACTGGGAAAACATATTTGTAATATGCATGTCTGACAGTGGACTTGGCAATGGTCCCATTGTTTGTGTCCCCTCAAAATTCATATGTTGAAATGCTAACCACCAAGGTGATACTATTAAGAGATGGAGCCTTTGGTAGGTGATTGCATCATGAGGGCGGAGCCCTCATGAATTGGATTAGTGCTTTAATAAAAGAGGCCGGAAGGATCTTGTTTGCCCCTTCCACTATGTGAGGAGACAATGAAAAGGCACAATTTCTGTGAACCAGGAAACCGACCCTCATCAGACTGAATTGGTTGGTGCCTTGATCTTGGATTTTGTAGCCTCCAAAACTGTGAGAACTAAACTTCTTTTGTTTATAAGCTAATTAGTCTGTGGTATTCTGGTTATAGCATCCAGAATGGACTCAGACAGAGTTGTATACAGAGCATATACAGAATGAAGAACTCGTAGGAACCAACAATAATGAGATGAACAACTCAATTAAACAATTGGGCAGGCTGTAATCCCAGCACTTTGGAAGGCTGAGGTGGGCGGATCACTTGAGCCTAGGAGCTCCAGACCTGGGCAACATGGCAAAACCCCATCCCTACTAAAAATAGAAAAAAACTTAGCTGGGTGTGGTGGGGCAGCCTGTAGTCCCAGCTACTCAGGAGGCTGAGGTGGGTCGATCGCTTCAGCCTGGGAGGCAGAGGCTGTAGTGATCATGCCACCGCACACCAGCCTGGGTGTCAGAGCCAGACCCTGCCTCCAAAAAAAACAAAAAACAAAAATCAGCAACACATAATTGGGCAGGAACTTGAACAATCACAAAAGAATATGTATCAATTGTCTAAAAGTACATGAAAACATTTTCTATACCATTAGCCACCAGGGAAATGAAAGTCAAAACTACAGGAATTAATTAAAAGGAAAAAGACTGACAGTATCAAGTATTGACAAGGAAGTGAAGCAAGGGGTGCTCTCATATGTTGCTGCTAGGGGTGTAATAATTGTATAACCACTTTGGGAAACAATTTGGCAATTTCTTATAAAGATAAACTTACATTTAACATTTGAAGTTTGAACCTCCATTCCTAGGTATTTATTCAAGGAAAATGAAAATCTGTATCCACAAACGCTGTGTATATATTTACAGCTCTATTCATACTAGCTGAAAGCTGGAAACAGAGGAATGAATAAACAGATCATGGTATATTCATACAGTATATATTCATGCTACTCAGCAATGAAAAGGAATGAACTACCGATGCACACAACAACATGAAAGAATCTCAGGAACGTTATGCTGAGTAAAAGAAGCTAGACACAAAAGACTACGTATTATATGAGTACATTATTGTATGATTCCATCTATATGAAATTTTTTTAAATGAAAAACTAATATATTGTGATAAAATTCAGATCTGTGGTTGCCTGGAGTGGAGGTGTTTGACCAAAGAGAGGCATGGGGGAACATTCTGGAGTGATGGAAATATTTATAATGGCAGGGCTACATAAATGCCCCAGCTCAAGGAACTGTACAATTAAAATGTATGCCTTTCACTGAGTATAAACCATACATCAATAAAGTTTATGTTTTTGAGTAAAAGGGAGTTCCAGACTCTGTGCTCTGACAACTTTGGCACATGGGGAATACTACACTTACTCTCCATAGGTTAAGCCTTCCTAGTTATCTTTGATAAGCCTTGTCCTAGACAGAGACAATTTTTATACTGACAAAATCAAAATACATTCTATTAAATTAAATGGAAATCTCCTCACTAAAATGAAGTACAACACATAGATGGAATACATGGGATGAGATACATATCCTGGATTTCAGTAGTATTCTTTGAGAGTCTTTTAAAAATATATTTGGCAGGCCGGGCATGGTGGATTATGTCTGTAATCCTAGCACTTTGGGAGGCTGAGGTGAGAGGAACACCTGAGGTCAGCAGTTCAAGACCAGCCTGGCCAACATGGTGAAACCCTGTCTCTACTAAAACTATGAAAATTAGCTGGGTGTGGTGGTGGGCCCTTGTAATTGCAGCTACTCAGGGGGCTGAGGCAGGAAAATAGCTTGAACCTGGGAGGTGGAGGTTGCAGTGAGCTGAGATCGTGCCATTGCACTCCAGCCTGGGAGACAAAGCAAAACTCTCTCTCTCTCTCTCTCTCTCTCTATACATACATATATATATATACACACACACACACACACACACATACATCACAACAACTAAATTTTTAAAAAAATTCTAATTCAGGGTTCAGTGACTGGACCATGAAGCCTATTTTTGTACTGCCCCAATGTAAGAATGGTTTTACATTTTAAAAAGTTGTTTAAAAAAAAAAAAAAAGTCCTGTCCCTTAAGAAAAAACAAGCAACCAGTACTATAAGTGTTCCTCAAAGTCTACAATATTTACTATCCAAACTTTTACAGAAAAAGCTTTCTAACTCCTATTCTTTACCCTTTGATCTGCACACTCTACCTACTGTAACTGATTCAGCCTCAAAAACTAACATGTTGTCTTTTTGTTTGCATTAGAGAATCCTAGATGTTTGAAGTACTAATTAGTATACACTAAGCCTATGGCCTTATTTCCTTTGCTCTGAAAACTAAGAGGGAATGTTAAGTTGAATGATATGATAGCTACTTTCCAAGGAATGCTGTATTTCTTACGAATTGGCCTCTTTGGCTGTACTCCAGATGGCCTGGTTAGAATGACGTTAAAGCTGTGGAATAGCCAAAGCACTTGAAATATCAGTTATGTATGTAGCATGAGGCTGTCAGCCATTTTGCAAAAAGCATGGGACAATGCTAAATATTTCTGGTTTGCCCCAGTGGTATAGATTGGAGAACCATTTTTACTCTTCAGCCTTCATGGAAAATGGCAGGGTAGTTTAAAAGGTCTTTGAGAAGTTTTGGAGGTTCTAAAGGGGTTTTTTTTTTTTTTTTTTTTGGCATGGGGTTGTCAGAATAGCGGATTTGCACTTCTGTCTCAGCAATATCAAGATTTCCCCCTTTTAGTGCATTTGAACCCACACTTCAACCTTAGAATCTTCTTACTCTCTCCCACCCTTTGCCTCTGCCTCCTGTGGCCTCATACAGCTGATCTCAAACCATAATAGATCTTTTAATATTAACTTAGGTCCTCTGAGCATCTCTTTATTTCAAAATTTTAAAGATGAACCTGGGATAAAGGGACATAGAGCTGCTTTAGGAAATACACAGCCTCTTTGGGGATCTCACTGTGCTAGTGGTATACAGATTCAAGTTGAAAGACCAGTGGAATTGTGGTTGACAGCCCAGGGACAGGAACAAGCAGGAGCCTGGTATGAGCTAACATTTAAGTTAAAATCTGTGACTATTTACGATATTTCTTTCTTTTCATCTTTTCTCTAGGCCTACTCTGTGTATGATGAAGACATTGGGTACTGTCAAGGGCAGTCTTTTCTTGCTGCTGTATTACTGCTGCATGTAAGTAATGGTCCGTGTGATAAATAGCACAGTGCTGCCAAGTTTATTTTACTTTCTACTGGCTTTGTTCTTCCTTCTTATTTCCCATTTATCTGATGGAGATTACATATGGCATATCTTTTTTAAAATGTACGTTAGGTGATAAAGTAAGAGATATGATGTCAAAAATACGACAGTTTCTCAATGGAATTAGTTTTGTTGGCTAGAAAAGGATAAATTGCTTATTTGGAGTTATTTTTAACTAGAATCCTCTGGAATTAAAGAAGTCGGTATAACTGCCCAAATATCAGGACCTGGACCATTAAGACCCACTATACTGTGACAAGGAAGTCCTTTATCATTTCTGTGATGTATTTTTATATATCCTCTTTCCTGTCAGTTACCTTCATTTGACAGATCATTTATTGAGCATCAATTTTCAGGTACTGGGCTAGGAAGTGGGGTTATAAAGATGAATCATTTATAATTTGTGTTCTCAAAGACTTCATAGTCCAGGATGGGGCACAGATAATGTAGGCATGAACTTATAATTTTTGTTCTCTTTTATGTGTCTTTATTTTTCTGATGACAAAAATAATACATACTCATTAAATAACTTACAGTATGCTAAGTGAAAGTGATACACAGGTTAAGAGAATAGAGAGGAGAATTACCCAACCAAGCTCTGCCAGAACTTTCAGAAAAGACTTTCTGGAGGAGGTGGCAGCTTTGTCAAGACAGAAATGAGATTGGAGAAGGTGAGAGGGGAAAGGGAGGGGGTAAAGAATTATTGACAAAAGTCACAATATGAGAAAATGTATGGAAGTATGATAGGGCACAGCATACAAAGGGAACAATATGAAATCACAGTTTACTATAGCAATTGTACACGGGGAGTGGTATGACGTAAAAATGGTAAGATGGGAAATTGTGAAGACTTTGTAATGTGTCAAAAATGCAGGCTTTATTCTAGAGCTAATGAGGAACCATTGATCACTTTGGAGCAAGGGAATAATACAGTCATATGATCATTTTAGATAAATCTTTTCATACCTGTGTAAAGGGCAGAATTAAAGGAAACAGACAGCAGCAGAGAGACCAGGTAGAAAACATCAATATGGCCAGGCACAGTGGCTCACACCTGTAATCCCAACACTTTGGGAGGTTGAGGCAGGAGGATCACTTGAGCCCAGGAATTTGAAACCAGCCTAGGCAATATAATGAGACACCATCACTACCACACACACAAAAGGTATCTGGGTGTGTTGGTGAGCACCTGTAGTGGTGGTGAGCTACCTGGGAGGCTGAAGTGGGAGGACCACTTGAGCCTGGGAGGTCAAGGCTGCAGTAAGCCTTGATTGCACCACTGCAGTCCAGCTTGGGCAATAGAAGGAGACCCTGTCTCAAAAAAATAATAATAATAAAAAGGAAAAGAAAATGTCAGTTTAAATGAGAGATGTTGAGAACCCAGAGAAAAGCAGAATTAAGAAACATTCAGGGAGCAAAATTGTTAGGTTTTGTGGATGGATTGGCAAAGGAGCAGTCAAAGGTGACATATCTAGTTTCCTGGCTTTGGAGACTGGATGAATGTTGTATTTTGAGTTCAGATAGCAAATATATCTATGGAGATTGAATGAAGGAAAAAGTTTAGGAGTTGATGATGATGAGTTCTTTCTTTCTCTCTTTCTTTCTTTAGAGACAGAGTCTCACTCTGTCGCCCAGGCTGGAATGCAGTGGCACAATCTCGGCTCACTGCAAGCTCCGCCTCCCCTGTTCACTCCATTCTCCTGCCTCAGCCTTCCCAGTAGCTGGGACTACAGGCTCCTGCCACCATGCCCGGCTAACTTTTTGTATATTTTAGTAGAGATGGGGTTTCACCATGTTAGCCAGGATGGTCTTGATCTTCTGACCTCGTGATCCACCTGCCTCAGCCTCCCAAAGTGCTGGGATTACAGGCGTGAGCCACCGCGCCGGCCTTTATTTATTTATTTATTTATTTATTTATTTAGATGAAGTCTACCTCTGTCTTTCAGGCTGGAGTGCAGTGGCATGATCTCAGCTCTCTGCAACCTCCACCTCCTGGGTTCAAGTGATTCTCCTGCCTCAGCCTCCCAAGTAGCTGAGATTACAGGCATGCGCCACCACACCGGGCTAATTTTTGTATTTTAGTAGATGGGGTTTCACCATGTTAGCCAGGCTGGTCTCAAACTCCTGACCTCAAGTGTGCCGTCTGCCTTGGCCTCCTAAAGTGCTGGGATTGTAGGCAGGAGCCGCTGTGCCCGTCTGATGATAAGTTTTGTTTCTAATTATTTGAGTTCAGGATATTCTTGGGACATCTAGGTGGAGATATATGTTCAGCAGCCAGTTGCATACTGGAGATTAATGCTGGAGGAGAAATGAAAGCTGAAGTCATGAGAGTACATCAGATCATCTAGAAGAATGAATAGAGTAAGAAGATTAAATCCCAGGAACAGCAAACATTTGAAGGGCTGATGCGGAAGTAAAATCCTTAAAGAAGTTCGGATTCTCAGTAGGGAGGAAGCAATGAATAGTGTCAAATGTAACGAGAGGCCAAACAAGTTTAAAAGGACAGCATTGTTTTTTTGAGGTTTAGCATTCTGGAAGTGAAGAGCAATTATAGTAGATTCATGGTCCTAATTCTGAAAACCTGATTTTAATTATAATAGTTCTATTATGATTTTCACTTTGTTTCACTTTGAGGTTGATGGTTTTTTTCCCTCTGTTACATTATTATCTGTTTATGACAGTTTCTGTCTTCTTGTTATCCTTCTTTCTTTGATTTCTCTACATCTCACCTTTTTGGGACTTCCTGTGATGACCAGTTACTTTATAGTCACAAATTCTCAGGGGCCCTTGTTCCCCTTCTAAACCCACTAGAATCTAGAATAGTCAGGTCCCTTCCCTAAGAGGCTGGAGACCATACCCAGTGACATGGATGTTTTCTTCAAGGCTCAGAGCCATCTTTCTTCTAAAGGAAGCCTTTATAATTACTTGGATGAGAAGCTGAAGTTCAAGACATGGGTGGTGAAGCTTTGGTTTGAACAAAGCAATCTTTTTTTTTTTTTTTTTTTTTTTTTTTGAGATGGAGTCTCGCTCAGTTGCCAGGCTGGAGTGCAGTGGTGCAATCTCAGCTCAATGAAACCTCCGCCTCCTGGGTTCAAGCGATTCTCCTGCCCCAGCCTCCAGAGTAGTGGGACTACAGGCACACGTATCACCATGCCCAGCTAATTTTAGTTTTTTTTTCAGTAGAGACAGAGTTTCACCATGTTAGCCAGGCTGGTCTTGATCTCCTGACCTGGTGATCCTCCCACCTTAGCCTCCCAAAGTGCTGGGATTACAGGCGTGAGCCACCACGCCTGGCCACAAAGTGATCTTTGAACATACCGTAGTTTAGCATTTTTTACCTGTAGCCCTGTTTAACATATTATAATATATTTATTAATGTTCAGTGAGAAGAATATCTCTCTGAGAAATCTGTTTTGGATTTGACAGAAGTTTGGGTCAATTATAAGTTCATAATTATTTGGAAACACCCTCCCCACCCCGTCCGCAAAGAGAGAAAGAGAGAGATTCAAATAACGAGAGCTCAAATACCCAGAATTTTTTTTCTACATTAGGTACTCTACTATTATAAGGGCCACGTAGTGAGTCAGCCTTTGTGAACTCCAACAAGATAGCTTCCAGTGTATGTTACAAGAGAGACAGAAATTCAGTCTAGTCTCTCACACTTTCTACATTAATAGAATTATTCAGTGTTGTCATGGCTTTTATAAAAATAACTTGAAATATAGAAATCCTTTTAGAATCCTTAAGGAACAATGAACTGATATTCAGCATTCTGTTAATGAAAAACATATTCTAATTTTTAATTGGCAGTATGTTTGATAATTCTGTTAATTAGCATATTCCATTAACTGACCAACCCATCCATTCAACCAATTTGAATAACAGAAGTTAACTGTAATTTATTTTTTACTATATTTTTGTCTCCCTGGTTTAAACAAATAGAAGAATACGGACTGGTTTAAACAATTCATCAAACACACTATCTCAGGTTCCAGGGAGATACATTATTAGGGTCTTACTGACTAATTTGTTATCAGTTACATAAGCTATTGCTTCTTTTTGCTGCCAGACATCTTTGGAAGCTCCATATTAATCACTGTGAGAGCCTGCTTCCTTTTGGGTTCTGTCCTTTCCTCACCCATAGTCATTTATATTTCACATTCATTGCCTGAGAAGAAAGTAAGACCAAAAATGAAAGTATGTTCAAAAACAGTTTTGAATTTTTAGGATTTTTTCGTGTCTAAGTAGTCTAAATAAATAATTAGCCTCTCCTTGTACTTGGAAATTTCTAGATGCTTTGACAATAGCTTTGTAACATGTAGTAGTTTAGACAATGGAAGAATTAAATGTTTATCACAGTAGACTCTTACATCCATTTATGAAATTACAAGAAATTTGTCATTTACAGTTGGAGAATGTTATAGTACAGATTGCCTGCAACCATTATAATGTTCAACTGCCTTTGTAATGAAATATACAATAATAATTTCTAATTTCATAATCATGATATTAGTCTTTATCTCTTAGTCTTAATAAATTATGACCTGATTATATTTCACTTACTCTAAAAATTATATAAAATATTTTAGATAATTTGTAACCCAATAATTTTTCTACAATATTTATTGTTACAAGTTTTAAATTTTTTAATTGAACATGTACCTTTTTAGACATTCAGAAGTTTATGTTCATTTTTAAGGTTAAATTACTGTATGTATACTAATATTGGCATTTATAGAAGCTTTCCAACTGCAAGAAGGATTATGTTTGAATAATCTAGCATGTTTAAAACTATTGAATTTTTTTAAAAAAACTATGACTAGGTACAATTCCTTTCGAAACCAATTTGGCTTTGTCTGATAAAGATATGCACACCCAGAAGTTTTGCTCCTAGACGTACCTTAGTCAAATTTACGCACTTGTACATCAAAATACATGTATTACTTTTGTCCTAATTAATAGTGTTTATAACAGTCAAAACACTGAAGCAACTCAAATGTCCACTACTAAAATGTCCAATATTAGAATTGTAATTAGACAGTAAGATGGCTAAATTATGATATTCTTAGAGTATGAATGCCATACAGCAATGGAAATGAATGTTTCACACTACATTGATTCATATAAATGAATCATATAAACATAAGATTTAGTTTAAAAAAAGCAAAGTACAACATTACATTTGGTATGATTCCATTCTGCATAAAGTTCAATAACAAGCAAAACTAAATTCTATTTTTAGGATGCTAGATAGATGGAAAAAACTATAAAGAACACCAATGAAGTGGTAACTGTTAAAGTTACGAAAGTGATTTCTCTAGGGAGAAACTGGGAATCATGACTGAAAAGAGACAGGGATTTTCAGGGCTATCGACAGTATTCTCTTTCTTAACCTAGATAGTGGTTACATGCATCCTTTGTAAGTTTTTTTAGTTTATAATCAAGTATTAATTAAAGTGTACATTTAACTTTTATACATTTTTCTGTTTGTTGTATTTCAGAGTAAAATAAAATTAAAAATTATAAATTTTAAAATATTTCTCACCAAAAAGACAGGTTTGGGATAAGATTTAACCAATGGAAGTAAATAAGAAGCAGAACTACCTATTACAGATTCCAGAGTCCAAGGTGACAAGATAAAGGCTTCATTTTGAAGTCTCTATCGTATATATATATATTTATAACATATATATATGTTAAGTATTTGTGGCATTATATTATTCAAGACTCTTTCTGCTGCATGTGACAGAATTGACTCATATAACTGGGAAATCTAGGGTCAGAGATGATTTTTCACATGATTGGACTGCAGAGTTCATATTTTGTCATCAAGAATCTGTATCTCTGCTTTTCTTGAATTTTATTGTCTTAATTATGTTAGTAGACAAAAAAGTGGGGCAAAATGACTGTTGGCTGGCCTGGATTCATATGATCAGGACAACTTCATTTAAAAGGGACTATTTTTTGCTACCTCGTTTAAAAGGGACTGTCTTTTGCTATAGCTCCTGCATTTATTTAAAGTGACACACAACAACACCACCAACAACTCCCTCTGTTTTTCTTCCTGTTGGACTTTGGCCTGGTTGGGTAGGGCATTCTAATTGTCACAGCCCAGGTCTTTAGTCAAGATCAGTGAACACCATCAGCCCCTCCTAAACAATGGAATGGTCTTCCTATAGGAAGAGGGGTTTTGATATCAGATGATGGGACAGTAGGATGCTAAACAGGTACATCACATCATCTTGAGTGATATACTTACTACAAGATTTTTAGTGTATTTAAAAAGTAAGTCCTATACTTCCAAATCACTTTTCCTTCTAGTTCAAGAGAAAGAAGCATTCATTTTCCTATTCCAAGTTAATTCTTATGAAGTGCTTTTGAGCCATTTTCCAACATCTCCCTGTGTCCTAATACACACAAACATTTTACCTATTTAAAAAATATTTAACTACTATCTTATGTCTCTCTGCCTTTTTGAAGCTGAACTCTTTCAAAGGATACTGAAAAGTACAACTGTGAATTTGGATTGTGGTTTAATACCTTTCAAGTTATATGGCTTTGGGCAAGTTTCTTCAACTGAGCTTTAGTTTCTTGTTATCATCCTTCTAGGCTTATTATGAGTATTGAGTACCTTATGATGAGTGTAAAGAGTCTTACATATTTTGTACCTAGCACAAAAATAATGCAGTTATGAGATTAAAACCAGGCTTTACTTAATAGACCTATAGTTACTGGCAAGTCATTTAACTTCTTTGAACTTCACTAGTATTATATTTATAATGTAAAAATAATGCCTACCTTGCAGGATTTTTGTGAATATCAAATGGGGTCATGAATGAATATGTCTAATAATGGTAACTGTTGCTGTTATTTTTTAAATTAATAATTATTTGCTTTTACATTAATAATTATTTGCCCAGCCAGTTTTCTTTTGGTCCCTGGTCCAACTAATTTGAATGGATTACACATAGGAGACTAATATATCATACAGTGATAGAATTTTATGGCTTATACATTGACATTCAATTTAAATGTATTAAGCTATTTGATTTAAAGGGAGAATAGACAAATGACTAGAAGTTTTCATTCTATTTGCTTTTTAATATGTAAACAAAAAATGAAGACATGATAAATAACCTTGAGTTTGAAGGTTCACCAGCATTCATCTTTTTTTTTTTTTTTTTTTTTGAGACATGGTCTCGCTCTATGACCCAGGCTGGAGTACAGTGGCAAGATGTTGGCTCACTGTAGCCTCTTCTCCTGGGTTCAAGGAATTTTTCTGCTTCAGCCTGCCGAGTAGCTGGGATTACAGGCACATGCCACCATGCCTGGCTAATTTTTGTATTTTTAGTAGAGATGATGTTTCACCATGTGGGCCAGCCTGGTCTCGAACTCCTGACCTCAAGTGATCACACACAGCCTCCCAAAGTGCTGGGACTGCAGGCATGAGCCACCATGCCGGGCCCATTCATTTTTGTTGAAGAAAATTGGGAATATCAGTAGAGTGTTCATCTCCTTCATAGAGAAAGGTAGATCATTCCAAAAAGATGTGAAACACATCATGTGAAGCAGGAAATTTAGTTTTACACTAACTATGGGGATTACTTTAAATTATCAAAATGTAGTTTTACTTCAAAAAATACCTTGATGTAAATGATTTCAGGTGCATCTTAAAGACTTGAAATACTTAGCACTGCTTTGTTTTATAGTTTCTTGTGGAGAGAAGTAGTGAGGGCTTGGAGATTGTCTCCATTCAGTGATCATCACAATTAGTACAGATGGCAGATCATTATCAACATTTATTACCAAACGGTGATTACATCACTCAATTCTCAATTATGCATGTGAGGCAGGTATTTTTGTTTTGTATTTCATAAAGCCATGGATGATATTTTGATATCTTAAATTATAATATTTTAATGTTTATCCCCTCTTTTCCTTAATGAAATAACACTGGTGATAAAGTTTCTGTACACAGCAAAAATGGACATTCAGTCTTAGAGACCCACCATATTCCAACACCTTAATATTTTATTTAAAGATGTGTTGTTCAATTATGTATTTTTATTGTAACTTTAGACCAATTGCATAAATTGGATAAATTGGATTATCTTATTCTATGAAGCATTAATCATTGTAATAAGTTAAATAGTCATTTTAGTGCTTTTTTTTTAAGTAGGTAGGTACCACCGTACTACCTCGTGGAGGAATTGCACGTACTAAGGTGAAGTTTGACAGTACAACCTAGCATTGCATCTCACATCTTGGTTGATTTTCTTTATGCCGATTGAGGGATAAGCTGAATAGTCAACACAAAATATAGATAATATAAAAGCTTTTTATATTTAGCATTTGGAATAGAATTACAGGAAATCAAGTGCTAATATAGTTGCATTTGGCTGCCCCTTGCTTCTAGCCTTCACACCAATACTTTCCTTCTACATTTTTGTTGGCAGTTACCAACAGATTGCCCTACTTGTGTGGTATGACTTCATTAAAAAGGCAGATATATGCAGAATTTTGCTAGTTTATCTTAAAGAAATATTTAACACTTGATATTTATTGAAGGTTCTATGCCAAGAGTTGTGGAGCGGGGGGTACAACATTAAAGTGGTGGTTAGAAGTGCACAAATAACTGTAATGGTATACAACAAAGAGTTTTGGGATTCAGAGAAAGCAGGGGTCTCCTCACGTTAAAGAGAAATAACAAAGTGCCACTTATGATCAGTTTTAAAAGATCAGTAATATTTTAAAGGCAGAGCTGTGCTATAGAGTATATCCCAACCCAGTTATTCCCTCTGAGCTTGTATACAAAACCATGTGGAGAACCTTGAAACTGCAGTTTGTCTGAGTCATAAAAAGCATGGGGAGGAGGAGGGGGACATTCTTCCTAGTGATACACAAGAAATGCTGTCACTTATATGAAAAGCAGCATATTTTTGCTGCTTCATGTTATCAACTTAAATTCCAGCAAATCATTTTAACAGAAAGATCTTAGAGTAAAAATTTTACCTATGCATCTGTTTATTCTTTTGAGTATCCTTGTATAAAGCACTTTGGTAATTGTCAATGTATAAGACAGAGTCTCTGTCTTTAAGGAAGGAAAGATAAGAGAAATTTACATTTAGTGATTGCCAACAATATGTATATGTTGTCTCTTAAATATATTTCACTTAATACTTGTAGCATCCCTATGACATAGGTATTATTATTTCTAATTTTTTAGAAGTAAAAAAAATCTTAGGCATTAAAAGAGGTTGCCTGCTCAAAATCACCCAGCGAGTAATTAAAACCTTACCTGAAATTACATCTATTGGTATAATTCCAAAATCATGTATTTCTCCTGCAGCGCCTTTTGTATATTCATGATCTGTTTCTGGGCAAAGTTTTGAGAGGAATGATTGAATATAGGTTCTTGTAGATTATACCTTTATACAAAAGAAAAGTGATAGATTCTTAGTAAACCAAAATATAGTTGTCCCTCAGTATTGGGAACTAATGAGGAATTGGTAGCAGCTGCGTGACCTTACTAAAAATAAAAATCAGATCCGCTGCTGTAAACTCTTCACTGATTTCCCACTGCACTTAGAATACATTCCTAACTCTTTATCATGGTCATATCAGTGCTGTGCTACAGCCAGGTCATACCAGCTTTTGACGGCCAATTGTTAAATTTTCAGGAATTCTGTGAACCAGTTGTTAAGCACAGCCATTGTTACAAATTAAATGATAAAAACTTACAGTTAAATAACTCATGTTAAAAACAAAAGTAATAAGTACTCAAAATTCATCACTTTCTGGTTATGTTACCACTTTTTACTGTTGTCTGTGCTCTTGAACTATTTACATTGTTTTATCTGTATGATAAAAATGGTATATGATGGTATGCTGCAGCTCTACTGTTATGCATCACTTTTCTTTTTTTTTGCAAATGATATTTTATTTTATGCAATTTGTTTATTTACTCATTCATTCAATTGCTTATTTAATCATTCCTTAAAATATATAAGCTGAGAGCTGACTATATGGATGGCACCAGGCAAATACAATAGATACAGTAGTGAAAAAAATAAACATGGTGTCTTTTGTTATGGAGTCCAAAGCTCAGTGGAGCAGTGAGTGATACTAATCAAACAACTGCACAAATGCATCTATAAGTAAATTATTTTAAAAGTACAGTTAAAGGAAACAAGTAGGTGCTATTAAGTACATGATATAATATCAGGGTTCAAGAAAATTTTCAGAGCAAATGGCAAATGAGATACATATATTCAGTCTGCCCTTCATGTCTGCAGGTTCAACCAATCGTGGATGAAAAATATTTGGAAACATTAATAACAGTGTAACAAGTAAAAATATAAATAAAAATACATTGTAATGACGATTTACATAGCATTTACATTGTATTAAGTATTATAAAGAGATGATTTAAAGTAGATTACTAAAATCATCTACTTCAGTAATGTTATATGCAAATATAACATATATGGTTACCTGCAAATACTGTACTATGCCATTTTTTTTCTTTTTTTATTTTTTATTTATTATTATTATACTTTAAGTTTTAGGGTACATGTGCACAATGTGCAGGTTAGTTACATATGTATACATGTGCCATGCTGGTGCGCTGCACCCACTAACTCGTCATCTAGCATTAGGTATATCTCCCAATGCTAACCCTCCCCCCTCCCCCCAACCCACAACAGTCCCCAGAGTGTGATGTTCCCCTTCCTGTGTCCATGTGTTCTCATTGTTCAGTTCCCACCTATGAGGGAGAATATGCGGTGTTTGGTTTTTTGTTCTTGCGATAGTTTACTGAGAATGATGATTTCCAATTTCATCCATGTCCCTACAAAGGACATGAACTCATCATTTTTTATGGCTGCATAGTATTCCATGGTGTACATGTGCCACATTTTCTTAATCCAGTCTATCATTGTTGGACATTTGGGTTGGTTCCAAGTCTTTGCTATTGTGAATAATGCCGCAATAAACATACGTGTGTATGTGTCTTTATAGCAGCATGATTTATAGTCCTTTGGGTATATACCGAGTAATGGGATGGCTGGGTCAAATGGTATTTCTAGTTCTAGATCCCTGAGGAATCGCCACACTGACTTCCACAATGGTTGAACTAGTTTACAGTCCCACCGACAGTGTAAAAGTGTTCCTATTTCTCCACATCCTCTCCAGCACCTGTTGTTTCCTGACTTTTTAATGATTGCCATTCTAACTGGTGTGAGATGGTATCTCATTGTGGTTTTGATTTGCATTTCTCTGATGGCCAGTGATGGTGAGCATTTTTTCATGTGTTTTTTGGCTGCATAAATGTCTTCTTTTGAGAAGTGTCTCTTCATATCCTTCACCCACTTTTTGATGGGGTTGTTTGTTTTTTCTTGTAAATTTGTTTGAGTTCATTGTAGATTCTGGATATTAGCCCTTTGTCAGATGAGTAGGTTGCGAAAATTTTCTCCCATTTTGTAGGTTTATGCATCACTTTTCAACTCCAGTCCATTTATTTTCTAATATTCTACTCTGATCTCTTCCCCTACCTCCTCTTTACGCTCAATAATTCATGGATTTGCCCTTTTGAGGCTATTTTCTAGATCTTGCAGGCATGCCTAATGTCTTTTTATTCTTTTTGTTGTTGTTGTTTCTCCTCTGACTATGTATTTTCATATAGCCTGTCTTCAAGCTCACTGATTCTTCTGCTTGATCATCTACTGTTGAGAGACTGATACATTTTTAAGTTTGTCAGTTGAATTTTTTAGCTTCAGAATTTCTGCTTAATTATTTTTTATTATTTCAGTCTTTTTGTTAACTTTATCTGATAGGATTCTGAATTTTTTCTCTGTATTGTCTTGAAGTCATTGAGCTTCCTCAAAGTAGCTATTCTGAATTCTCTTAAATGTCACATATCTCTCACTCCAGGATTGGTCCCTGGTACCTTGTTTAGTTCATTTGATGAGGTCATGTTTTCCTGGGTATTCTTGATGCTTGTGGATGTTTATTGATATCTGGGCATTGAAAAGTTAAGTATTTATTCCAGTCTTCATAGTCTGAACTTATTTTTACCCGTCCTTCTTGAGAAGGCTTTCCAAAGGGAATTAAGTGTTGTGATCTAAGTCTTTAGTCACTGAAGCCATATCTGCTTTAGGGGATGCCCCAAGCCAAATAATGCTGCAATTTTTGCAGACTCGCAGAGATATAGCCTTGGTGGGCTTGGGTAAGATCTGAGAGAATTCCTAAAATCTCTTTTTCTCTTCTCTCACTTTCCCCTGAATAAATAGTGTTTTTTTCTCCTCATGCTGGGCTTCCTGGAGTTGAGGAGCAGGGTGACACAAGCACTAGCCACCACAGCTGGGACTGGCTACTATGGCTGCAACTGCACTTGGTCACACCTGAAGCCAGCATGGTACCTGACGACTACTGCCTGGCTGCTGCTGGTGTTTATTCAAGGCCCCAGGGTCTTTCCATTCAGGGTAGCAGGTTTCCTTCTGGCCCAGGATGGATCTAGAAATGCTTTTCAGGAGCTAGGGTCTGGACTCAGGGGATTCAGGACTCTGCTTCATGTTACTGTGGCTGAGCCGGTACTCAAGTTGCAGGACAAAGTCCTCTTTACTGTTTCCTCTCTTTTCCACAAGCAGAAAAGGAGTATCTCCCAAGCTGCCCTGCCTGGAGTTGGGGAAGGGGTGTAAGTATAGCCACTCTTACTTTTTTGTTGTTGTTTCTATTTGATCCCTTGGCTACCCCAGCTGGTGTTTCACTGGATTGTATGTACCCCAAGTCCACTGGCTTCAAGCCCAGCACAGCACCAGGACTTGCCGGAAGATTGTAATACTCGTGGCCTAGACTGCTTTTCAAATTTGTTCAGGACACCAGGGCACTTTAGTCTACCAGGGGGCTTCCCTTCTGTCTGGGGCCAGTCTGAATCCTTCCTTGTTGTGTGCCTGCTAAATTCTGCCCTGTGTTGTGTTCTGCTGTGACAGGGCAGCACTGAGTACCAGTGCAAAGTCCCACAATCCCTGCTCTCTCCCTTTCCCAAGTGCATGGATTCTTTCTCTACACAGTGCTGGGGGGATAGGATAGGTGTGGTGTAGACGATGTAAGACTGTTTTTTCTATCCTCTTCCATGCCTTCTTCCTTGATATCATGTTAAAACCAGGTACTGTGATTGCTCACCTGATTTTTTGTTTTTATGAAGGTGTTTCTTGCGTGGATAGTTGTTCAATTTGGTGTTCTTGAGGGAGGATGATTGCTGAAGGATGATTGCTATTTGGCCATCTAGCTCTGCCTCCTCCAAAATTGTCTCTGATGTTTACCTTTACTTCCAACACCCAACATTCCCTAGTCTAGGACTTCTGCATCCTTATGAAACTCAAGTAGAGTTGCCTGTTTACTCTTCCCCTAGGGAGGCACTATACCTTTATCTCTGTATCCCTAAAGCCTAGAACAGGGCCTGCACCTCATCTGTTCAGTGACTATATGTATGAATGCCAAAAGGCACATAAACCTTTTATTTGCCCTAATGATTTTACCACATTCAAAGAAATAAAAACATATTCCCTTTATAAGACATCAGATGGTAAGACATTTACTTAGAAAGAGAGAGACTTAAGTGAATTAGTATCTCTAGGACTGGCTACAGTTCAGTTATCTTTTTTTTTTCTCTCTCTCTTTTGAGATAGAATCTCAAAACTCCAGGCTGGAGTGCAGTGGTGCGATCTCAGCTCACTGCAACCTCCACCTCCCAGGTCAAGCAGTTCTCCTGCCTCAGCTTCCCCAGTATCTAGGATTACATGTACACACCAACATGCCCAGCTATTTTGTATTTTTAGTAGAGACGGGGTTTCGTCATGTTGGCCAGGCTAGTCTCGAACTCCTGACCTCAGGTAATCCACCCACCTTGGCATCCCAAAGTGCTGGGATTACAGGCGTGAGCCACCGCGCCCGGCCTGGCTACAGTTATCTTACATGCAGCTATTTTGTATAGCCATTTGAGTAGAGATCTGAGAGGAAGATGAAGAGGCTTACACCTTGGTAAGAGAAGTATTCTTGGCCATATATGTTCAAGTTAGTGTCACTTGAGGCTTTGATGACAAAGGAGTAAAGAATACAGTGTAATTGTATCCTAAATAACCAAACGGAAGCTGAAAAATAGTTGCTAACTTGAATAGCTGAGGTCAGTGGCCAGAAATTTTGAAAAGGTCTCAAACAACTCATAGATAAAAAGAAAATAAGCAAATATTTAAAGAATCAAAATGAAAACACTATAATGTATTTATTTAACTTCAGGAGATGTTATTTAACAAATTTGGGTATTTTGTGGTTTATAATTAGAAAATAGAAGTGGCTGATTTGTATGAAATCTTGTACAACTGCATTTCTAAGTGGATAAATGGAACTCTACTTGATTCACTTGCTGAAGTATGAAGTTAGTCTAACAAATGTATGAAATACCATAATCAACCAAATGTAAATTTTCAAGGAAGTAATATTTAAAGTAGATGTTTGTATAATAGTTACATCCTAGGACATTGAATAAGTACAACTTTTTCTGTATGCTTGGTGTAATTTCTAGAATATTAGATATGTCCCTTTCCATATTCTTTCACCTGTTGATACCACTGTTTAGAGGTTTGTTCCTTTGACTTCAGACTTTATTCCCTGTTCAGATAAAAATACCTCTGAGAAAGCTAGTATGTTAGAGTTTACTGGCCATTTCCCTGAAAACTGTATTTTACAGAAAGTAGCAACATCAAGAAAACGCAGGGAGGATAGTCTCACGCTATTTACCAAAATTTAAAATGCATTTATTTTTTCACCCAGCATTCCCCCTTTTGGGAATGTGCTCTACCCCACCCCATTTTTGCATATGTACAAAATGATACATATGCAAGGTTTATTGAAGCTTTATATGATTAAAAAATTAGGAACATCTCAAGTATCAATAGGAAACTTGTTAAATGAGCTATAGTACTTTTATATAATGGAATACTATGTAATTGCTTTTAAAAAAATAAAGAGACAACTCTTTATATACTGAGATAGAAAGATTTCCAACATATATTGTTAAGGAAAAAAATCAAGATGTATAACAATGTATATAGAATATTATCTTTTATGTGGGATGGGACAAAATAAAATTAAAAATGTAATTATTTTATTTGCATAGATAATCAGTGGCAGAATACAGGAGAAATTATTTAGAGTAGATATGAGGCTATGCAAAAGAGGTTGGGGGGTGTAGGTACCGGGGATTAGTTTATATATAATGATAGGGAGGAGCGAGACTTTTACCTTTAGATCTTTTTACATTGTTTTTATTTTATTTTATTTTATTTTTTTTTTAGACGGGGTCTCGCTCTGTCACCCATGCTGTAATGCAGTGACGTGATTTTGCTCACTGCAACCTCCACCTCCCAGGCTCAAGCGATCCTTCCACCTCATCCTCCCAAGTAGCTGGACTACACACTCATGTTGCCACACTCGGCTAATTTTTTTATTCTTTGTAGAGACAGGGTTTTGCCATGTTGGTCAGGCTGGTCTCGAACTCCTGGGCTTAAGTGATCTGGCTGCCTTGGCCTCCCAAAGTGTGCTTTGGTTTTTTAATCATGAGTGTATTGCCTGTTTTTAAAGGTAGCCTAATGAATGAATGACAACATGATTAAAATTAACAAAAGAAGATAATTCATCTCAAGTAAGGAGGTCATGTCACTCTGCCAAAGACTGGCTCTGAAGGACTTCATTTGCTCCAGGCCTTCAGCTACTTATGCAGAGGACTAATAACATGAAGGAACTTTTTTGACATTCTGGCAAAATGCCACTTATTTATATTGTATATGTATATATTTTTCTGTAGATGCCAGAGGAACAAGCATTCTGTGTTTTGGTGAAAATCATGTACGACTATGGTTTGAGAGACCTCTACAGAAACAACTTCGAAGATCTTCATTGCAAATTCTACCAGTTGGAGAGACTAATGCAGGTAAATAAAAATTAGGAACTTTTATCACTCAGGGATTTGTTGAGTCATAGAAAAAGCCTAATAGAGTTGGTAAGCAATAATGAATTAT